>NC_000020.11:6429971-6581486 GCF_000001405.40 Homo sapiens
GAAAGTAGAGTCTATCTTAGGTTAAAATGTGGTATCTGTGAACTATTTCTTCAAAATGTGCAGCTTTACACATTTCTAACTATCCTTAGATATACTACAGCATTTTATTCTCTCCTTTCTCTTGCAAAAACAGGAAAGTTCTGAGTAATGCACTGAGTATTGTTCTCAATCTTCACTACCTGTCTGTTATGGAATTACGTGCTCAGTCTCTATGCCATGGGACATCGTACTATTTCCCCCTAGAACATCTGGAGTGTATTTCTCCACTCCAGGGCTTGGCCCTGGAGTATTGTTACAGGGCTTGGCCACATGACTTGTTTTTACTAAAGGAGTGGGACTCAGCATGATGTAAGCCTAGGGTAAAAATGTGCTTACAATATTTGGCTTGACCTCTTCCACTTCTTTCATCCTCCATGAAGGGAACCTGTCCTGTTTATATGCTGGTTAACCATGAGGTAAAAACTTAAACTCAGCTGGCAGCCAAAGCTAAATACAGTGAATCTGAGATGAGATCAGATTAGCCCCTGCCATCCTACAGACATTAAAGTGAAACAAAAGAAAGGTTTGATATGAACCACTGAGTTCATTGGGTTATTTGTTATGCAGCATAATTACAACAGAAAGCTGACTAATACAGAGAGATGTTCTTTATCTTCACTGGTTCATTGGCTAATTATCTACCAAAATACAACAGTGCTTGAAGTTTTAGTTTTTCTTTCTCTTTGTTAAAAGAATTTTAGTCATAGAATGAAGAACTTGAGGCTGAGTGTTTTTTGAGGGTTATTTGAAGCAATGAGTGTCTCATACTAGTTTTACTTAGGTGGCCTTGGTGATTACTTTGATGTAATTATTTTAGAGTGACTTGTGGATAATGAGGGAGGCAGAATACATGTGACATGTCTTCCCCATCCTGCAAATGTTATTCATTTAACAAAGTCAGCGGATACACTGGGGAAATATGAATGATATAGCTCTCCTCAGATAATTCTCACAGCCTAGCAGAGGAAATGAACAATTAAGTAAATTATTAAGATAAAGCATGAGAAATATAAAGGTGTAAGGGTGCCCTGAGGATCACTCAAAAGTCATTCCTTCGAGACATTTTTGCTTTTCTTAAATAAGTCAATGTAACTGAATAGTATATCATAAGTGTTTGCAATTATTTTTTCTAATTATTTTCTTCCTGAACACAGTTTAGCCCCTTTCTTCAGCTCTCAGAAGCTTCAGTATCTTGGTCCTCACTTCCCCACCCTTGTACCCACACATGTATTTTCAAGTTGGCTGAAACATTTGATGCTACTTCAGTTTGTACCTAATAATTTTCATCCATAATTCCCCTTAACTCAAGTCTCATAATGGGATTTTAGGGTTTCTACCTCTAGTTATTATTTCTGACAAAGAAATGTGGAACCCATCTTCTTCATTTATAAAAACATCACTGTGATTATATTCCACGGAATGGATAATTCTTTAATTTGATATGACATAATTGATCAAGTGTGTCTGTGACTCTTTCACATGAGGTTTGTAAGTCTTTGCTAATTTACTTTTCTTGTGTCAGCTATTCATAGACTATTCCTTAAGGTTTAGGAGTTTGCACAAAATGTTTTTTTTAAAAGATCTTACATAAACCATTTATAAACTTTGACATAAATTCTGTTGAAATGAAATGAAATAAAAGCCTAGTAATATCCTACTGAATTGTAGGCTAATGATGGAAGAGGAAAAGTATGTGAGGCAAAGTAATTTCTTAACTATTTTTAGTTTTTGACAAGATCCCCTTAGGGGATCTCTTTTGTCTTGTTACCTACATAATTTGGGTGGAACACATAGATCTGGAGAAGCTAGGAAGAAATACCAAAGGCTTGGATCAGTGATCAGCTTCTTATATGACACCATCTGATTTCCCTGTCTTCTTTAATCATGATGGGCCCATTCTTTGTTGGAAGCAGCATAAAGTTGAATTTGGCTTTTATATTCAGTCTGCCAATGTCTCTCTTTTGACTGGGAGTTTAGATCATCCACACTCAAAGTGATTACCAGTATGATTGTATTAAAATCTACTATCTTCTTGTTTCTATTTTTCCATATGCTGTTTTTTAGTTTCCTTTTTTTCTTTCTCTTAAGTTAATTAAATCTTCTTATGATTTCATTTTATGTCCTCTATTGACTTGTTATTTATATCTCCTGTTACCTTTTTTTATTTTGTGATTGCCCTGGGGTTAACAACATACATTTTAATTAATCTGAGCCTGCCTTCAAGCAATATTATACCACTTCATATGCAGTATGAAGAACACTATATTCCCAATTCATCTTTCTCATGGAGAAATGAAGACATGCTAATACTGCCATATGTTTTACTTTTACATATGCTATAAATGTACATAAATTGTCACTATTTTTGCATTAGTTTTCTCATATAGCAATTACAAGTAAGAAAAAATTATTTTACCTTCATTTATTCCATTTCAAGTGCTTTTTCTTTCTTTGTTTAGAGCTGTTTTAACTGTTATTATATCACTTTCTGTAATATTTCTTGTAGAGTATTTCGATAACAATGAATTCTCTTAGTTTTTGTCTAAGAAAGTTTTTCTTCCTTCTTCACTTTTGAAAGGTATTTTTTCTGGGTTTGGAATTCTAATCAGACAGGATTTTTGTTTCAGCACTTTACAGATGCCACTCCTTTGTCTTCTTGCTTGCATGGTTTATGATGAGAAATCTTATCTTTATTCTACTGCAGACAATGTGTCTTTTTCCTCTGGCTGCCTTTAATATTTTCTCTTTATATGCGATTTTCAGCAGTTTGAATATGATTTCCCCAGCATTGTGTTTGTGTATAGGTGTGTGAGTGTATGTTGGTATTTATCTTGCTAGATGTTCTCTGAGCTTATTGAGTCTGTTTTTTGGTGTCTTATATCAGTTTTGGAAAATACTCAGGGAATAGTTACTCAAAAAATTTTAAAAAATCTAAAATTTATGGTGACCTCAGATTGGCATTCCTCCCAAGTATCTGGTGTTAGCAAACTCAAATATTATCTGGAAAAAGGACATTTTATCAGGCCCATCAGATAAATACTTCCCATTATGAAGTTCCTAGAAGCATGAATTTAACACCAAAAATCACCAAATGGATGAGAGAAAAAGCTACCATCAGGGAGGCCAGAGGATCATAAGGATAAGAATGAGAACAAGGGACTGTCAAAATGACCAGGCAAAATTTTTCAACTGAATTCAACTGAAATATATAATAATTGAACCTGTAAACTTAATGAAATGCTAAACAATATCATGTATTGTTGTAGAAAAAATAAACTAGAATGTAAAAATAAATAAGTGACACAGATAAAATGATAGAAAATATAAAAAAGATAGAAGAAAAGGATTAAAGAATGAAAATATCTAATATGCTTATAAATGGATTTCTAGAATAATAAAACAGGAATAATGGAACAAAGGCAATATTTGAAGAGATAATGACTATTTTCCACAATCGATGTAAGGCATGAATTATCAGTTTCACAAAGCCCAGTGAATCTCAAGTAGAATAAATAGAAGGCAACCTATAGTTAGACACATTATTATAAAACTGCAAGACCAAAGACAAGAAAATTATTTTAAAAGCAACCAAGGAAAAAGGGGAAACTACTTACAAATGCCAAAAATAAGGTTACAAACTGACTTTTGACAGCAACAATACGAAACAGAAAACCATAGAATGATATCTTCAACTTTCTGAGAGAAAATTACTGCCAATCTAAAACTGAATATCCTATAAACCCATCTGTGTAGGACAAAGAAAAAAAATCAACATAAAAATGTTACTTATAAATTTCAATTAAAATTTCTAAAATATGCCTTTCTGGAAAAGTAAAAATCTCAAGTAGAAGCTATTTTGATGCAAACAACTGCATGCCAAAAATATGGTACATGTTTATCTAAATAAACATTTACTACATAAATAAATATCTAATTTATAGGTTAGAAAAATAAGATAAAACTAAAGTGTTGAATAAGAAATGTGAAAAGAGAAATAAGTGGCAAATAATTTTAAGGCACTGTTTTGGTCTCATGGAAAAATATACTGATTTACTATATTATATTGAATTACATTTTCTTATTCAGTATTTTAGGGCAATCCCTAAAGAGAAAAAGTAATAGGGGAAAAAATCCAATGGTGAAAAATTAATAGTAAAGAAGGTAAGAAAAGAAAGGGGGAAATGAAAACATAAAAGCACAAAATAAGATAGTAGTAATAAATCCAAATACACCAACAATTAAATAAATGGTTTTAGCCAATTCAAAAATAATAGTCTGAACTGGGCATGTTGTCACATGTCTGTAGTCTCAGCTATTCAGAAGGCTGAGATGGGAGAATTGCTTGAGCCAAGGCATTCACCTGGGCAACATAGCAAGACCTAGTCTCTCTAAAAAAATATGTGTAGAAAACAGAAACCGGCAATATATTGCCTCCGTATGATGTAATTACAATTTAAGAGCATAGGAAGTTTAAAAAAGTGGATGGAAGATGTATTAGGCAAACACTAAGCAAAATCAACTATGAATATGGCAACAGAAGAAAAATAAATAAGTGTTGCAAAGATTGGAAAGGAAGAACCAAATATATCATTGTCCATAGATGCTATGATTGTCTACTGGAAAATCCAAAAGAAACAATAGAAAAATGATTAGAATTAATAAGAGCTTAACAAAGATGCTGGATGCCAAATTAATACATAAAGTAATTGACATTTCTATAGATTAACAGAAAATAAAAAATAAAATTCAAAAGGTGACTTTTAACATAGTAATTCTGTCTATGTATGTGAGTATATATCTCTTTATCCCTCAATCATTCTGTCTATCTCTACTATCTATTCTGGATGATAGATGATATCATATAGGATAGTTGGAATTAAATGTAAATTCAGTAAGGAACCTTTTGAAGAAAAGTATACAATTTTATTGAAAGACATTAAAGAAAAAACTATGTAGAGAATATACTATGTTTGTGGAAGGGAAGTTTTGATATTTTAAAGATATCAAGTCTCCACCAAATAATCTACAGATCCTGTACTGTTCTGATGAAAACACAGTAAGCTATTTTGCAGAACTTTACAAGCTGTTTCTAAACTTTGTATGGAAGAGCAAAGGGTTAAGAATAGCCAGGAGACTCCTAAAGAATATAAATAAGGTGTGCGTGGATGGGTGTGGTGGGGTGGAGTGAGGACTTACCCTTTAAAATATCAAGATTTATTGTAGAACTACTTAATTTATACACAGTGGTATGTTACAAGGATAAACAAGGAGAAAAACATGATGAGAATGTGGAAGAATTCATATAAAGTCCTATATATAAAACAGAGCTGTCAATGGATATCAGTGAGAATGGAATGAATTATTCACTGAGACAATCAGCTATCCATAAGGAAAAAGAAAAACAAGTTGTATCCTTAACTTCACACCATGAAAAATTGCTTATTTTGTAGCTTCTACTACTTCTGAGAGGCTTTTTCCTTCACAGTGACCAATGGGACAATGACAAATGTCTTTACTTTTATTCAAGATAAGAGGTTTTCCTAGAGAGTCATAGTGGAAGCACGCTAAATAAACTGAAGCTACTAAAGAGTAGTAAGCTTTTTAGTAGACAGCAGTTGGTTGTCACATAAAGGGCATTTACAAATACAGGATTCAATTCCCTGGTGATTGTAATATTTTGGAACGCTGGTCACTTCTAAGTACATGGCCTTTCCTTTAAGGAAAGCTTAAGTGGTAATGTTGCTGGTTTACCAAGTGAATTCTGGCAAGTCTTACAAGTATATTTGTAAACTGTAATTATATTATTAAATGTGAAGCTGTACAATTCGCTGCTTTGAAAATAATACTTAGGTAAAAAGCTATCCTCTCTTCTTCTACTAAGTATTGGCTGGAATTGGAGGAGTGATTTTTTTTCTTGCCTGGTTGGTGAATTCAAGTGCAAGTTTTGTTTTGTTGGAGGCTGACATTTTCTCAGAGGAGGTAAGAAATGTTTAATCTCTGTAAGGTACATATAAGACCTCAGAAGCTTCTCTTGACTATGTAACAAGCCATTTATGGTGTGGGAGAAGGAGACAATTTGTCAAAGATATTGGAAACACTCAAAGGAAGGAAGAACCAAAACCTGACCAAGATAAATGTTGGACAAACCCTGTTTTGAGTTCCACCTGGCTGAGGTAAGGAGATTTTTAATAAGTGGTCTAGTGAAGAGTGAAATAATGAATAGGAGATGTCTAGTCTTTTTAGGAATTAAAAAAAGTTCATTCAAATACAGTACACAACACAAATCATAAAAATTCAATTCAGTTTTTACCATAAGCCTAATAGACATGGTACGCACATATACTTCTCAGCTACATGTATTTATGATATCCTTATGCGTCACCTCTGGGGATAGCCTGCAACAGAACCATCTGGGGTGTTTTTTATTGCATCCATATTTTAGTCATAATTAGAAAAACTTTTGTTATCACCAAGTTATAAAAGAATTTACACATTAAAAAGATTTTTTAATAGTAGATCCCTGATTTAATAGTAGTCTATTCTTATGTATGGTGTGAGATAGGGATTTGGTCTTATCTATTTTCAATTAGTAAACCTGTTGGCCCAGCACCATTTATTAAAAGTTAATCTTTAACCTAATTATTTAAGATGTCATTGTCACCATGTACTAAAGTTCTGTGGTTAGTTTGTTCTATTTTTGGACTATTCTATTCCATTGTCCATGATATTGCTGTAAAAATGCACCAAAACTTTCCCATATAAGAAACTTTATAAGTAGGTATGAAAATTAGCATTTTAGATAAATTGCCCAGGTGATTTTCATGTCCACACAGTTGTTCCTTTCCATCTTCTTCAGAAATTTTAACAAATTTTCTTATTACCTTAAGAAAGTAGATTGTTAAAAGATAGCAAATTGTTCTACCAAAAGACATATGCATTTGCCTGTTCATTGCAGCACTATTCATAATAGCAAAGATGTGGAATCAATCTAGGTGCCTATCAACAGTGGATTGGATAAAGAAAATATGGTACATATACATTATGGAATACTATGCAGCCATAAAAAGAATGAAACCATGTCCTTTGTAGCAACATGGATGCAGCTGAAAGCCATTATCCTAAGTGAATTAATGCAGGAACAGAACACTGAGTACCACATGTTCTCACTTATAAGTAGGAGCTAAACATTGGGTATTCTCAGACATAAATACGGCAACAATAGACACTGGGGACTGCTAGAGAAGGGAGGGAGAAAGACAGGAAAGGGGGCACTGGTTGAAAAACTAACTGATGGCTACTATGCTCAGTACTTGGGTGATGTGATCCTTCATACCCCAAACTTACGCCTCATGCAATATATCTGGGTAAAAACAAACCCTAAATATGTATCCCCTAAATGTAAAATAAAGGGGAAAAAGAAAAAAAAAGAAAGTAGGTCATCAGTAGGTACAAAGGATAGATTGTGACCAACAACTTTGTGTAGATAAAGTGGTTCTCCCAGCAGTTGATGTTGAGATTTCATTAAGGAAAGTGCATCATTTAAACAAAAATAGTCTGAGGTCTGTCTGGTTCAAGATAATGGACAACGTGGAAATATTCTCATCTCCTTCTCTGAACCTATTAAAATGGCAGTGAAATATTAAACTAATAAATTTATAAAGCTGAAAGTGGATGGGGAGCGAGGTTGGAAGACACAAGCAAAACAAAGATTCCGTTAATTTCTGGAAGACAGAAGACTACCTAGTGTCTGTATTTATCTATTGCTGCATAAATAATTATCCAAACTTAAGTGACTAAAGAAACAAACACTTATTATCTCACCTGATTTCTGTGGGTCAGGAATTTGAGAGCTGCTTAGATGGGTGGCTCTACTCAGAGCATCTCATAAAGTTATTGTCAAGATGTTACCTGGAAATTAACCAGGGCTGGAAGATCTGTTTTCTAGAAGGCTCATTTACGTGGCTGGCAGATTAGTTCTACCTATTGGCAGGAAGCCTTAGTTCTCCAACAGCCTGGAAAAAAGAAACGTAGCTTGACATTGTACTCTAGAGTGACAAAGTTGATAAATAATGACAACTGAGAGAGGGAGAAGGAAAGCACTATAGTAGAAATAAAAATATTGTTAAAAATGAATATTAATAAAAATTATAATAACATCTGGAAGGTGAATGGATAGACAAAATGCCATAAATATACAATGGCATACTATTAAATGAAAAGGAATAAATTGTCATATATTACGTTAAGGATGAACCTCAAAAGCATTATATGAAATGAAAGCAACCAGACAACATCATGATATTGTATGATTTCATATTTATGAAATGTTCAGAAAAGGCAAACAGAATGGTGGCTGCTTGAGGCTGCATTGGGAGAAGGTATTAACTGTAAATGGTAATGAGGCATCCTGTTGGGGATATAAAATATTCTAAAACTGATTTCTGGTGATGGTTGCATCATTTGGTAAATTTAGTAAAAGTCATTGAATTGTGCATTTAAAATGGATGAATTATAAAAATATGTAAAATGTATCTCAACAGTTGTTTAAAAATAAATGAATGCAAAAAGTAACTGCAAATAATACCCTTATAGTACCATTAATCCTAATAGTGCAGATAAATATAAAATACCAAGTGCTCTGAAAAGAGAGAATTTGAGTGATAGTGTGATTTATGGCATTGTTTAAAACAGACCTTTAAAATGTACTATTTATTTTTCTTAGTTACACATAAAATACATGTTAATTATGAAAATTTTAGAAAGTTTAGATGTGTACAATGAAGAACATACAAATTACCAGTATTTGTCATGCCCAGGATAACCATCATTAATATTAATGTCTATATTTTCAGGTTTTCTTTTCCATTTGTAAAGCAAAATTTAAATGTGCAGAAACTCTTGTAATTTTGATAAAGCTAATTGGAAGCTTTTTTATGATGTCTTGAGAAAATCATTATGGTATGTGATTTTATGTATAAAAGTGTTAACTAACAATAAGGGTTGAACCTGAACTTTGAAAGAAGTATTGAATAAATATAAAAATGGCTGGTTTGACAATGTCAAAGCAAATTTAATTGGTAAATATTAGTTGGATAATTGAATTCTCCCCCACTGTGCCATTGAAATGAACCTTAGAGTCTCCAATCCAAGGCAATCATTTCACAGATGGGGAGAACGAGGCCCAGAAGGCTTGTGAGTTTTCAAAGCTCTCCCAACAATGGGATCAGAGTGAGAACACATACCTCCTCACTCTCTGCCTATGTTCATAACCTTGAACTTGTGGTAGGTCCGGAATTGTGGGAAAAATGTGAAGACCACTTGATGGAATTTCCTGCTGTTCTTGCACAGGGTGCCCCATTGTGAACTCCTCCAGCATTTACAGATGCTACTACTTGTGGAGAGTAAATTTAGACCTTCGCAGAGATGGGGTCACTTTAGCTTGTGGCTTATTTTTGTCTTACTGTAGGTTTTCTCTCTCAGTAGACCAGGCTGTCTTCTTTACCTTTCTTCATTGTCCTTGATTTAGAATCAATGGTCAGTAGGATCAGATGTGGGAGAGCTGTTTGTTAATAAAGCTTTAGAAGTCGTGCAAATGACATCATAACTTTTCTTCATGGGTGAGATATCCTGAGATTGCTATTAGAGAAAATAACGATACTTGTCATATATTTCCTCTAAATAAATCTGGCTTTAATAGCAAAAGTCCATGTTTTCTTCACTTCTGTTTATTTGCAGTCACTCAAACTGACACGTGCTGTCAATATCTCCTCACTGTAAGTGTAAGCAGAAGTATTTAAAGAAAGCGGTATTGTTTTATTTTGGGGTTAGCAATTTTCCAGGGCCCACTGGAAGAAGTGCTTAGTTCTAAAGAATCACATGTGTTTGCTTTGTTCTAAATATAGGCTAAACAGAATGCAGTAGAGCCTGAAGGCTTCAGACCAAACATTTGGAATATTAAAAAAAAAAATCAAGGGAAGCAATATCTCCTGCCCAGAGCTAAACAAATAAGCAGGTTTCTGCTAAATGCAGGAAACAAACTGATGGAGATCAGATTTTCTTCTCAAATCTTTTAGTGGCTTTTTGAAATGTTTCCTTTAAGACTGCAAATCCAGTGTCAGCCTCCAATGCTACAGTAACTCATTGCTATATTGGTAAATGGTAACCAGTGTGTGGTCTTGCTGGACCGTGGGGAAGGGCTGCAATGTAATGGATGTGACTGCTTTAAAAAAGCAGATTATTAGGATTTTTTCTTTGAACTCTGCCCTTTAGAATATTTGGTACATGAATCTGGCATAATGCCAAAGAGCTTCTAATATAAGTCTTTTTGCCTGTGGACTACATTTCCAGGAGAAGGGGAGGGACACATGTAACATGTGGTATTAATATTATTAAGTTCTGTTTTACAGTGTTTCTCAAACTGGAAGCTATAGATCCTTGTGGCCTATAGACATATTGTCATAGATATGCAAGTACTCTAATATATATCTCAAATTTTAAGAATGGTATAAGAAAAATTAGCATGAACATACTAAAAAACCTTATACAAAATCAACGTCTGTATTAGTTTGTTAGTGCTGCTGTAACAAAGTACCACGAATTGAGTGGATTGAGCAACTATTTATTGTCTCACAGTTGTGGAGGCTAGAAGTCCAAGATCAAGGTGCTGGCAAGGTCGGTGCCGTCCCAGCGCTGCAAAGGAGAGCTTATTCCATACCTCTTTCCTGGCTTCTGGTTGTTTGCTGGCAATCTTTGGCATTCCTTTGCTTGTGGATGCCAAGGGCCTCTGCCATCATCTTCATATGGCATTCTCTTTGGGTGCATGTCTTTCTTTGTGTCTAAATGTCCCCTTGTCATAGGGACATCAGTCATATTAGATTAGGGCCCACCCTAATGACCTCATCTTAACTTGATTATCTGCAAAAGTACCTTTCCAAATAAGGTCACATTCATAGTTACTGGCAGTTTGGATTTCAGTATCTTCTTGAGGGACGCAATTCAACCCAGAACATCTAGAAAGCACTGCCAGTCTGACTTCATAATTGGGATAAAGGAAAGTAGCACTATTTTAGTTGTCCTGTTCTCAAGAGAAAAAGAAGAGATGACTTACTATTCACATAATATATTGGTGCCAAGACAAGGCCAGACAGTGTCATGTCAAGATACCCCATAGGAAACTTATTTCATGGAGATGGCAATAAAAAACGGTGGTGGTGTGTGGTAGAACAGACATAATGAGTCCAAAGGAATCTACATCATAAAAGACATATTTATAAAATCTCTTAAAGTAGCAATTCGTATGTATTTCTACCTAGAATATGACTTATGACTGAGTTTTGAATCCAGATAACTGGCAGCTAATTTGGCATAATTATATAAGAGGGAGGAGCTTATGTTGTTCTTTTTCTTTTTCTTTTTTTTTTTTTGAGACAGAGTCTTGCTCTGTCACCCAGGCTGGAGTGCAGTGGCGCGATCTCGGCTCACTGCAACCTCCACCTCCCGGGTTCAAGCGATTCTCCTGCCTCAGTCTTCCGAGTAGCTGGGACTACAGGTGCCTGCCACCACTCCCGGCTAATTTTTTTTATGCTTTTTTTAGTAGAGACGGGGTTTCATTGTGTTAGCCAGGATGGTCTCGATCTCCTGACCTCGTGATCCGCCTGCCTCGGCCTCCCAAAGTGCTGGGATTACAGGCGTTAGCTACCGTGTCTGGCCTACGTTTTTCTTAAAGCAAAAGTTAGATGCAGAGAAAATAGTTGAATTTCACACTTTAATAATTGTAGTAACAATGATAGCTGTCATTCATTAAAGGCCTTCTTTATGTCAGGCATTATATAAACTGCTAACCCTCCTCAGCACCCATCCAAGTTATTATAATCCCTATTTGATGGAAAATTTGATAGGACTGGTATTTGAATGATTTCTATCTAAACTCAAGATTTGTATTCTTTCCATTACATTTTCACATTTTTCTGACTTTACCTAAAATTCATGCAAATAAGATGAACATCTCTCAGTGAGCATATCCTAGACCTTGGCTTTGAATATCCAGAGTTCTTTTTCTCTTTAAACTGTGTGTCATGTCTCCTAATCAGATGAAATCAAAGGACCGTGAAGTGTATAAGGTGATGCTTGGGCCCATGAATCTAGTTGGAAATGTAAACCAGCTAGGTTTACAAATGTCTGGCCAGCTAGGTCTGCAGGTCTTAATAGGCTCTGTTCCCTGAGGGGTAGCCTCATTGAGAAACTCAAGGGAGCAGTGGCTTACCCCAAGGAGATTAAGTCACATTATAATTAATAAATTTAACAAAACAACAGTATTAATATTGGCACCTCCCACCATAGGAGAGACATCAAGTGCAGTCTCTTGTTTCTGCCCCTGAAGTTAGTTATTGGGAAATTGTTTCTAGATCTTTAATGGAAAGTTGTGTTTTCTTTCAAAGTTCTCCATTGTGACACTATGGTTCCTTGGACACAGGGGTGAACTTATATAATTAGGGAGGGCCTTGAGATTTATTTAGCTAGAGTTGCCTCCAGGAATACTGAAGATGAGTCTAACAGAAAAGCCAGTCATTTTTAAAGAAGCTATTTTCTTTGAGGATTCGGCACTTACTATTTATTGAACTATCCAGCTCCCTCATACTTAATTCCAATCTTGTGCCATATAATATTCCAAACTTTCAGGCAGGCTAGATATAAATCAGAAGTGAAATTGTAGTTAAATGGTACAGCCAGCTTGTTTCCATTTGGAGATAGTCCCTGACTGAAAAATGGGCTTCACAGTGTCATTTCAAAGATTTTGTTTCAT
Organism: Homo sapiens; assembly: GCF_000001405.40. Classification (NCBI taxonomy): domain Eukaryota; kingdom Metazoa; phylum Chordata; class Mammalia; order Primates; family Hominidae; genus Homo; species Homo sapiens. Next base: position 6,442,813 of record NC_000020.11, read on the forward strand.
TTTTTGCTTTGACAAGTAAGTGCAGAGATCAGAAATTGCATATGCCATCCAGTATTTCAGCTGTACCACTCTCAACCTGGCGAGTACACCAAAGCTGTTTTATATTGCTGTTGGGGGTGTCTAGGAACAAGCATCTCAAAGGACATAATTTATTATAACTAAACAATTGTCTTTTCCTAGCAATGATTCCAGAATAGGAAATCTAAGAAGAAGTTTTGATCATGTCAAAAATTGGCTCAAATAAAAGTATCATACAGGATATCAATAAAATGGAATGTTGAGTTTGCTTTCCTTTCCTTTTTTTTCCTCTCTCTTCCTCCCTTCCTTCCTTCTGGTTTGCTTATTTATTTTAGAATTGAACACAAGTGCTTATTTTATAATAATTTGGTAGTATATTAACTATTTTTTGATGTAATATTTTGTTGATTTTGAACTTTCAAAGCCAGGAAAGCAAATATTTCTTGGTTTTGCCTTCTAAAAGTTCCTTCTGCTGGCAGGAGCGAGGTATTGTGTAGATGAGCTCAAACATACATTTGACATACATGGTGGGAAACACATTTCAACTGTTTATAACCTCATGATGTGAAACTTGACTACCTAAACAATGAAAGGAAATTTGACTGGAGTTCTAACATACTAGCATGGCTTGGTGATCCCTACATATTGAAGAGTTTAAGTCAAGACTATGCGAGTTTTCATTATGGGCATTATTCATCCTAGAGTCCAAGTATTTTCCTTCCAGTTTCATTGATATTTCTTTCTGCTATAATATGTTTCCCAAATTTTCATGTAAATAACTTTTTATGACCTCAATTGTGTTTTTTTCTAAATAGTCTGTATTATTGTTTTAAATATTGTACAATATATACCTGTTTTGGCAAATTCAAATGAGTCATAAGTACATACATTAAAAATACTATTTTTGGTCCCGTTCTATCATCACTCTTGCACAAACCCAGATAACCTGTTCTAATACTTCGGTTTATGCCCCTTGGAGTATTTTAAAAATGCTCCCCCCTTTTAAAATAAATACCTACACACAGTGTTTTTTTTTTTTTTAATGAAAACATCATATTTTCCTATTGTATTTTTCCATCAATTTGCCTTTTATACTTTCCATCTTTTGGATTTTATTCCAAATCAACATGTATAGATTTTTCTCTCTCTTAACCAATAGTTGAATTATCCAAATTAAAATATATATTTTTAATTTTTAATTTATTTTGTATATTTCTTGTTTTTAGCACAACGCTGTGTGTCTGTGTGTGTGTGTGTGTACCTGTGAGCATGCACTTCTATGTAGTTTATCCTGTCATCTCTTAAGATAAGGGGGGAGGTTGAAATGTATTTTTGGTCTTCTATACTGAAACCAAAAAATTGAATCTCTTTTTAAAAGACATTTCTAGATGCAGAGCCTATAGGAATGGTAACATGAATTACTCTGGCTTTGCGTAAGTATCTTAAAAAAATAAATATATACACTTTGATAGTAGGTTGACTGGACTATACAGTCCATGTTTACAAACTAACTTAAATCTTAATTCCAAGTGTTCTGGAATATAAGAACCATGGGAAGAGCATTGGTTTTAAGTTGTTTCAAGAGGCAATTTTTCTTTCAGTTTAAGGAAACTGATTTACTAATCTATGTCAAGAAATTATGAACTATTCAATAAGCCTTATTGCTGTAATTTTGCCTACGGTAATACAGTAGTAAATTAGACATTAATGGCAAAAGTAGACTAAATGCCCCACTAGAAGACACTGTTAGGAATATCAAAACTTTACAAATGTTGAAGGACATAAATCATGGTGAAAGTGTAACATAAACAGTTACACGGAGGTTTATAGTAATATCCTGGCACTAGAAACTTGGAATAATAATATTAGTACAAATATATACTAGGATGCCTTTGACAGTATAGAATAATTTTATTTTGCTGTATTCATGTGAATACAGTAAGTCTTCACTTAATATCATCAATAGATTCCTGAAACTGCAAATTTAAGCAAAATGCTCTATAATGAAACCAATTTTTTCCTCATCAATGTTATATGACAAAACAACATTGAATTAAACGATGTCATTTGAAGGCCTGCTGTACGTTGTTTTGCCTAATGTAACAGTTTTCAGGAACCTGTTGATGACATTAAGTGAGGATTTACTGCATATAGTTATAGGAACATTTCTCTCATTAAAATAATCCACAATTGAATTGATATTTACTAGTGCTTTAATATCAGATTGGAATAGCTTCAAGTCAGTGAATTCTATTTCCACCATTTGAAATCTTCTTTTGGGAAGTGAATAGCAAGTCTATGTCTCTAGAATAGGGGTTCCCAAGTCCCTGGGCTGTGGACTGGTACCAGTCCGTGGCCTGTTAAGAACTGGGCTGCACAGCAGGATGTGAGCTGCAGGCGAGCAAGCATTACTGCCTGAGCTCCACCTCCTTTCAGATCAGGGACATTAGATTCTTATAGGAGCCTGAACCCTATTGTGAAATGCACACGCGAGGGATCTAGGTTGCACACCCCATATGAGACTCTAACTAATGCCTGATGATCTGAGGTGGAAGAGTTTCATCCTGAAACCATCACCCTCCACCCCCATCTGTGAAAAAATTGTCTTCTACAAAACCAGTCCCTGGTGCCGAAAAGTTGGGGACTGCTGCTCTAGAATGTAACTGATGTACAACTTTGGTTGCATTAGAATCACCCAGGGAAGTTTAAGAACCCAGTACTCAGGTCACATTCCAGGTCAGCTATATCAGCGTCTCTGGGAATGAGACCCAGTCATCAGTAGTTTTAAAAATTATCTCATTTCCTTTAGCTATGGCTCACGTTGGAATCAATATCAATCACATTGATTCCAATGTGAACCAAAAGTAAAGAACCACTGCTTTCTAGTTTCTTGCTACTAGCATATCAGATATTTTTTCAAAATATTATTTGAGAGATAGTTTACTAGGGTAAAAAACATCTTGGAGAGAGGTTTAGGTGCAGGAGCAGACCCTACAGTTGCTACCTGTGAGATGGTTAACTTAATCTTTAGGTGCTTTAGTTTTTGTCATCTGTAAAATAATTTGGTAAACATTTTCTTAGTACCTGCTATAGGCCAAGAATTTCATGATCTAGGTCATAAGGGCATTCCCAACCCCCTACAAAATAGATGCTGTTATTATGCCTATAACATGCAGCTTCCGCATAGCCAGGATCTTTAAAATGCAAACCTGTAGGCTGCACACCAGACCTACTTCAGAAACTCTGGGAGTAGGGCCCAAAGATCCGTTTTTAAACGGTACTTTGGATGCTTCTGTTGTATGCTCGTGTTTAAAAACCCACTCCACTACACTGTACCATGATAGTCTCTGCCCTGTAGGGATGTTGTGAGGATTAAAAAGATAATCCATAGAAAGTATTTAGTGCTGTGTCTAACACACAATAAGTGATCAATAGCTGTTAGCTAATAATATATTATTTTAGGTTACCTGAATTAGAACTAAATCTCCTCTTGCAAAGACACAACCAAGTCATCTCTTCTTCAGCTTCACATGTTTTAAGAAATAATAATAATAATAATAAAAATATGAATGCCATAGACTTAGCTCACAATCTCCTTCTTTTCTTTTTCAAACATCAATCATAATTCACTGTGACTTGCTACCCTGGCTATATCTGCAGTGTTGGAATTAGAACCTTGAACTTTGGTGTTTTTTTATTATTTTGATGACAGTTTGGCAAAAATATTAACCATTTTATAATTCATGCCAGACTATATATTACTGTCTCCCTCTTCCTCCCCAAAAATCGCATGTCACACATTACCTTGTGTAAATAGGCATTTGAGATTCTTCACTTAACTTTGACAGTATGTTTGCAGTAACATTCTCTTCAATTGCCTCTGTACCTGTAGGGCAAAGTTCAGCATCATCCTCTCTGCTGAAATAACCAACATGGTGCTCATTAATTGGTCATGTGAGCACTAAGGATAACCACCCTCCCCTCCTCAATCAGGTAACCCTAATTATTTTCTCTTGGTAAAAGCACACTTTGCTATGTCACTTTCATTGCGACAAACACAGACTTGTGCTGAGGGAAATGCCTTTTATGTGGGAACCATTAAAACTGTTAGATGCAGAAATTCCAGCAATTTAGCTTTTAATAGTAAAGCTAGCCAAAATGTGTTTGCGTGGTTTTTGTTCATCAAGAAAAAGAGAAGTTACACAAAGTCAGTGACCACGGCTATAGGCTCACATTCTGAGCCATCATTTTCCTAATAAGCTGAGTTAAAAAAAAATCCCACAACAGATTTTGTTTTAGGTGTGTTCAGACTATTCTCAAAGAGCTACTAGAAATCTCAGGGATTAGAGAAGAAAGAGAAGTGGACCAAAAAGATCAAACCAGCTCCTGGGTGGTCACTGAATTATTGGGTTACTTTCTTCTGATAATAGATTTTCTACTGTCTTTATGATACATAGTTTCTCCATCTTTGAAGTTAAAGATTAATTTTAATTGGTATTGCACATATCTATGATAAACTAGTAAAGTATGTTCAAGAATGCTCAGTATTCTCCAGAGGGAGAGAAAATGTTTGTAGTTGTTTTCCATTGTTATTTGTCCAAGAGGCATGGGCTGTGATGTCTATGTGGATGATGTCTTTGCAATGTAATTAAATGTCATTGCAATGACTATAATGTCTACATGGCTGAGTTAGGCAGAGTGGATGAACATGGAGCATTTAGACCCCTCCACAGAGATGAGAAAGATGCAGAAAAGTGAGCTTGGCAGAAAAGAAGGTATCCAGACAGTCAAAGCATTGCATTCTGGCCAGGTTCTGCAGGACCTGAGATGGAGATTCTTATATAAGTGATTTAATGAGGAAAAAACTCTCAGGAGAAATCTGTAAAAAAGTAAAGAAAGCAGGACAGGTAGCCAAGCAAAGATGTGGGTTCAGCTAATGTCTAGTTTGAGCCAATGGAAAACTCTAGAACATAAATGGCATCTCACAGTTTTCCTGCTTTGGGGCAAAAGGGCTAAGCATTTGTTACCTTATATGAGTCAATTATTGGCTGCAGGATACCCCCAAGGGTGGGGATCATAGCCTCCCAGGCATCCTCTAGAGATTTTTCTCCTGGCCAAGGGCAATTCTCTAAAACGGGACCATCTGCTACTCATAGCATACACCACTCACAGAACTGGGATAAAGGGGATCTGGGTGGGCCACCAACAGTGTCTAGTACCCATGGTGTCTGGGGTATGCTGTTGGTACAGAGCATTGACTTCTAAAGGGAAAATGGAGTCCAACAGGTCTATAACATAGGAGGTATCCCTGAAGAAGGCAAGACCACAGAAGTAAAAATATCAACTTGGAGCAATGCTCAGGAGCCTTGGTAAGAGACCAGTGAGGTCAAATACAAAATGGCTGTGTGAGTTGTTGGAACAGGAGCTCAGAATAGGAGATAAATCTTTTTCAGTAGACTGTGGAAAGCAAGACATGACAACTTATTATCAGAATATTGCTCTGGATGTCCAGCTATGGGGAGAGAATTAAAGGATATATCACGAGGATAATTCCGAATTATCCTGCAGGGTGGATGACCTGATTCTGAGCTCCACTGAGTGGAGATACTGAATTTACTTGCTACCTCCTATCTTTAATGTCATCTGAGAACTGATGCTTGTTGAGTGGATGTCAGTGGTCCAACTAGTGATGAATAGAGTAGAACATGAGAATAAGGGAATTAAGCAGGAGTCCATGGGTTATATGTACAATAAAAAGGCAACATATTCTAATTCATTATGTATATATTAGATAAATGTTTTCTTTGGTTTATTTTCTAGGATCACTTTCTATTTTTATTGATGCCCAGAAAGGCTTTCTTTTGTGCCTAGCCCAAGATCTGTAAGTTTGCCAATTCATTGGTATGATTCCAAGCATAAGAATGTTTAGTAATGTTACTGGTGACCCAACCAATGGTCTTTACTTTTCTTTCTTCCTAGTATGTTTGTTATTGTAAAATCTTATAGTCTTTATAACCCCTTATTCTCCCTAGGGATTTTTAAAAATTCAGGGTATCACTAATATTACAACCGTTATATCTCGATAAAATTTCCTCTAACTTCAGGTATTTGTGGAAAATGTCACACACACAAGAGATTAAGAACATCTTTAACAACAAAGGGAAAATAATAGTCAACTGTATATATAAGCATTTAGATTATACTCTTTTGTAATAAATTATCTTAGTCTGTTTTCTGCTGCTATAACAGAATACCACATGCTGGGTAATTTATACAGAAAAGAAGTTTATTTGACTCATGGTTCTGGAGGCTGGGAATTCTAAGATTGAGGGGTGCCATTGGGTGAGGGCCTTCTTGCAATGTCGTAACATGGCATAGGCCATGACGGGTTGAGAGATGGTGAGAGAGATGACAAGGGAAAGAGGTAAAGGGGGCAAACTCCTGTGATAATTAACTGACTCCTCTGATCATGGCATTAATTAACTCGTGAGGGCAGAGCCTTCATAACCTGATCACCTCTTAAAGGTCTCACCTCTCAATACTGTTACGTGGTAATTAAGTTTCAGTGTGAATTTTGGAGAGGACATTCAAACCATAGCAGGACTCTCTTACATTAATATTCAGTCTTACTCTGGAATTGTCATCCAGGAAAGATTTGACAATGTCAAATGCTAGTGGTCAGTTGCACCAGTCTCTCAGCCGATGTGTAGGTTCAGATCCCAACTCCACCATTTATTAGTTGTACGACCGCTGTGTTTCAGCTTCTCTCCTGTGTAAAGTGGTAACGATAGTACTTTCCTTGTAGTGTTAACATGTAGCTTATAGGGACTCAAAACCTTAATAAAGATGGACTACCTCAAGTCGTAAGTTTGGTAATAATGTTCCTTTACTACAAATATTAGGCAGAATTTGAGTCACTGGTTAGTTCTGAGTGGGGGATTAGGTATAATTTTCTTTTTTTTTTCAGGTAATATTTAAATTTTTTTTTTAAGTTCTGGGATACATGTGCAGAATGTGCAGGTTTGTTACATAGGTATACGTGTGCCATGGTGGTTTGCTGCATCTATCAACCCATCATCTAGGTTTTAAGCCCCACATGCATTAGGCATTTGTCCTAATGCTCTCCCTCCCCTTGCCCCACACCCTCCAACAGGATCCAGCGTGTGATGTTCCCCTCCCTGTGTCCACATGTTCTCATTGTTCAACTCCCACTTATGAGTGAGAACATGTGGTGTTTGGTTTCTCTTCCTATGTTAGTTTGCTGAGAATGATGACTTCCAGCTTCATCCATATCCCTGCAAACGACATGAACTCATTCTTTTTTTATGGCTACATAGTATTCCATGGTGTATATGTGCCATATTTTTCTTTATCCAGTCTATCATTGATAGGCATTTGAGTTCCAAGTCTTGGCTATTGTGAATAGTGCTGCAATAAACATATGTGTGCATGTGTCTTTATAGTAGAATGATTTATAATCCTTTGGGTATATCCCCCAGTAATGGGATGGCTGGGTCAAATGGTGTTTCTGGTTCTAGATCCTTGAGTAATTGCCACACTGTCTTCCACAATGGTTGAACTAATTTACACTCCCACCAAGAGTGTAAAAGTGTTCTTATTTCTCCATATCCTCACCAGCATCTGTTGTTTCCTGGGACTAGGTATAATTTTCTTATCAGCAATTGTGAAGAAACTTCTGAAAGACGTGAGCCTGTCATGTTAAGACACACAGACTATGCCATGTTGTTTGGGAGAAAATTGTTGAAAGTTAGTGGTAACAATGTTTCCATGCTCATCATTCTCAGGGTTAAGGGAGGAGTTATTAAAAATCTACTCAATTCTGAAATAAGGCTCATTCTAGGTGTAATGCATACGATTTGATGAATGTGGAAGCCCAAAAACTTGGCTTCCGTGACAACTTAAATCAGAAGAAATGAACTTCATTTCGTACACGGTTTTCTTCCATCATTACTCATAAAAAAGAATTTCAAGGTTGGATGATTTCTTCTATCTGTTCACCTTCTATCCATAATATTCCCGTCAGGTGGTTAGATGCCTGTATCTTGACTACCTGCAGCAATGAAGAACTTCAGATACTTTAGACAGTCTGGGGATGATTTAATAGCTAAAGAAGTTTTTATTTTGAACCTAGATCTGTCTTATCATGTCTTCCATAATTATTATAGTTATTTCCTTTGTAGCCAGTTGAAACAAGTCTAATCTCTCTGACTCCTATGACAACCCTGTAAGTATTTGAAGATAGCTTTGTTCCAAGACCTCTCTGCATTTGACTGAAATCACTAGGTTCCTCATGTTCTTCATTACTCTTACGGTGACTGTACGACGGATATGCTTCTGTTTCTTTACATCTTGAGACAGGGTCTTACTCTGTTGCCCAGGCTGGAGTGCAGGGGTGCAGTCATGGCTCACTGCAACATGTGTCTTCCAGGCTCAAGTGATCCTTTCACCTCAGCCTCCTGAATAGCTGGGACTACAGGCACATACCACCATGCCTAGCTAATTGTTTTATTTTTTACAGAGGTCGGGTAATCCCTATTTTGACCAGGCTGATCTTGAACTCCTGAGCTCAAGTGATCCTCCTGCTTTGGCCTCCTAAAGTGCTTGGATTACAGGAATGAGCCACTGTGCCTGGCATGTTTGTTTTAAAAGAACTAAACTTCATACTCAATGTATGAGCAACACGGAATGGGACAGGGCTCAAGCGGATGTGACAACCATCTCTGTTTTGGACATATTACTTTCAGTACAGTCCAAGATTCAAAGACTTTGGCAACCACAGAATTGACTGACTCTTTATGAGTTTACAGAAGTCTATGATCTTTCAGTCTTTGTCACCTATGCTACTGTTAACATGTGTGTCTTAAACTTGTTTTTTGGGACCAGTTTCAGGACTAACATTGTTAATATGAAATTTTATCTTCTTAGATTTGACCAAATATTCTACCTTACTGATGACTTTTTTTCCTTCTAACCAATCTATTTTTCTACTAATATTAGTTGGACAGTAATAATTGTGTCATGGATCAGTATGAGTTATCAGTATTAGTTATCATAAGCTAGTACATGGATCAGACTAGTTATCACTAGTCTTGGCTACAGAAGAGCCAAGACTAACATTATGTTGCCCATCACTTGGTAAGTCATCTACTAATTTGGAAACCATGCTGCTTTATAGGCATTATACATAGTGTCTTTGTGATATATTTCACTTCAGTGTTTCCATTTGAAACCAATATAAAAGTCACACTTTTTCAAAATAAGTATAAGAAAAAAATTAGACAATATTCCAAGGATATGCTTGATATGTTGTGTGGAGAGTTCAGACAACATGTGACCTGTGAGCCTAGAAGTGGGTGGTCTTTTAACTCATCACAGAAGTGGTGGAATGTGAGCCAGATAGGTATCGAAGGTTAACTAGAGTTGGGTTAGAGGGAAGAGGTGCATGCGTTTGGGAGTTAAAACATTCAGGTTGATGAGGCAGAAATAGCAGAGTAACATCAGATGATGGTATGCAGATGACTTTCCAGGGACAAAGGTTGTGTAGAGAACTGTGTGGATGGTGAGTTCAGAAAGGTGGATCAGTGTGCTTGTAGGATGCTAATATTAGAGTCAGAGTTCTTAAAAGGAGCAGCTCTTCTCTGGTCAAGCCGTTCTCTAGTGCTTATAAGTGAAGAAGCTGAAGTCTCCCGACTACTAGCTGTTTCCAGACTTACTTTCATTGGTTTCAATTACGCTAAGTATCCATCACAAAGATGAATTTTGTAAGCAGTCATGACTGCTAGGGTACTGAAAGGAAAATATCTGATTTTCTTTTATATTAAGATGCTCTTAGGATTTCTTTAGGGAGGCATGCTCATCTCATTGAATATGGTTTATTCTAGGTTCATTCTAACAGGGCCCACCTAGTTATTGGCCATTCTCGGGGAATACTTCTTTGAAGTTCATGTGCTTTAATACGCTTTAAACCTACATTCAAGCATATGGTTTATTTTGAGACATGAACTTGACATTCACTTTCTTGTCCTGCCTTTTGTGGCCTGTGTAGCAAAAACATCTGCTCTGACAATGGAAGAAATCATAAAGTAGTAACTCCTCATTAAAGTACCAGGGCAACAATGTAATCCTTTTGGGAGTATGGCTGACTTGCCATGATCTGTGAGTTTCTCTGGCTATTGTTTCCTCACTCCTTCATAGTAGATTCTCAGCCAAAAGCAATTTCTTTTGGACTTGTATTTTACTAATGATATATTTAATAAGGGAAAGGGAGAAAAACATAGGGCATCAATAATCACAAATATATACATCTGGTAGAGGACTGAAAGGAAAACAGATCACAGCTGGCTTTGACAGTTAATATTATGAAAATGTTCAGGGTGGAATGTCTATTTTAAATAAGAAACACTTGAAAGAAATGGTCAAGATTAACAGGAGCTTAAATTGAAACCACGTTGGTTTGTAGGTAATAGAATGCTAGAGACAAACACTGCCTTTAATATAAAAGCATTCCTCCCCCAGCCCCACAGCTCCCCAGACTATCCATGTGGCCCTGTTTGTGCCACTGGAATTTGATTGGGTTTGGCTTTTCCAGGAAACCAGGAGGTAAGAAGAACCTATTTAAACTCCTGTTAAATGGCTTATTCCCCCTGCCCAAGCCTTTGGGTAACTCAGTTTATTAAAATGTTCTGGAGTTCATGTCTGTTAACTCAGTGCTATGCCACCCATATGCCTGCCTTTTGGTCTGTGCTGCAGTCTAACATCTGATTTGCTCGAGTCCAGGAGTAAGAGTCAGTATGCAATGGGAGACCTTGTTAAGAACCCAGAATGGTGGGTATCAGTTCATTGTTTGGCCCACAGATTGTTAGCTGAAGCTCAGATGCTTGCTCCCATCTGGCAGTTGGTATTTGTTGTATCAACACAGCTATAACTTACCCACTGAAACAAAGTTGCTGGATCTAATTCTCCTAAGGTACCCAAGAACCTCAAGGCCACTTACAAATAGACATCCTGTGCATCATTTTAAGGGAGCTTTGACTTACAGCTCTTCTATTCATTGACTTACAGCTCTTCTATTCTCTGTTTCACATGTGTTTTTGTTAGTCAACTCAGCAAAAAAGAAAAAAAAATCCTAGGAAACTTCCAGCAAGTAAGACTTGAGTATTTATAGGAAGAATCCATTCGGCATTACCACCATCAAAAATTCCAGGGAGCTGTTAGGGGAAGACAGATGAGCAAGAAGCAAAAGTCTGCTAAAGGGCTCTTAAGAGGAGAACAATGAAAACGCCTTGGTCAATGTTAATCCTGCCAGAAAAAGATGTAGTCTCCACAAAGCTGTTACTCTTGAGAACAGAAATTCTTATTTGCTTTTCTTTTGCATATTGCCCAGTGTCCAGGACATAGCGTCTTATTTTCCTTCCTACGGTTCTATCCACTTGTAATACTTCCCAGCAAGTACCTAGTCTATTGTCAATATCTGTTTCATCAGTGAAGTAAATGAAATTGAGTTCAGGTCTTTATTATCTGTCATCCTCAGTCTATTTCAATAGCCTCCTGACAGGATTTTCCTTTCAGTAGCATACACGAGTCTGTCAGAATAGTCTTCAAATGTTTCCCTTTTGTTTCACTCATTCTCAAACTGTTGGCATTGCCAAATTGCCCACAGGATAATTTCAAAACTCCGTAGTCTTACAGCATTTAAGACCATCCAAATACCAGTCCAGGCAATCCTCTCACCTTATCTCCTACGAAGTTCCCCAATCAAATAGTCGTTTCTGGCCGAAGTGACTCTTGGTCTTTCTGAATGTGAATTAGCCAGCAGCAGTATATTGACCAATGTCATTCCACTGCCTGTTTGTTCTGTCCTACTTCTGCCAGCACTCTCTGCCCAAGGATCTCCTCCTAGTTTGTTGTTTTTTTTGTTGTTGTTTGGTTTTTTGATACAGGTCCTCACTCTGTCACCCAGGCTGGAGTGCAGTGGTGCAATCTTGGCTCACTGCAACCTCCATCTCCTGAGCTCAAGTGGTCCTCCTGCCTCAGCCTCCCAAGTATCTGGGACAACAGGTGTGTGCCACAACGCCTGGCCTCCTCCTGACCCTTTAGAACCTATCTGGAGCTTGACGTTCTTCATGAGGCCTTTTCTGGAATGTCCAGTTAGAACCAATGTAGAAATAAGTATAAGAAGAAAATTTTGTTTTTTTGGCAGCGGGGCAAGCGTGGGGACAGCCTGCTAGCAGTAGCCCCAGGCGAGAAAACTCCAGTGTCAAGCCAATCCTATTTTCTTACCTTTTAGTACCTTGCTGGACTCAAGTTATTGGGTTGGAGAGTCACCATTTGTCACCTCTGATGTTTCTCTGGATCCACTTGAATGCCCTAAGATTATTAGCTGAGCCTGCTCTGTGTTTGTTTTCCTGCTCGTCTGTGTGCCCTGGATGTTTTCCTCTTTGCACATCCTTTGGTCAAGCCAATCATGACGTGATTCTGCCAAACCTTCCCCACTTTCAGGAAACACAGTAGAAGAGTGTAAAGTATTTTCCTTCCCTGCTTACTGAACATTCATACCTGTGGCAGGAACTAGCTCTAAGATGCCAGGATGAAAACCAAGCCCTGAGTAGTAGGTAATACACACCACTCTTACCGACTCTAGCTGTGAATGCTCCCATTGATTAAACTTTACTGGGGATCCTTGTTCAGTTGACTGTTTACACCAGTGCTTCTCAAAGAGTGGTCCCCAGAAGAGGAGCATTGGATTCACCTGGAACTTGTTACTAATGCAAATTCCCACTGCAGATTTACAGAATCAGAAATTCTGAAGGGGGGGCTCAGCAATCATCCTTTAATAAGCCCCATAGGTGATTCTGATGTCAATTAAATTTGGAAAATAATGGGTTACATGAAGGCCAGCAGTCTCCATATTAATTCCTAATTAACTTCTTGTTAAGTAGAGTAGGCAGCACTTTATATACATGAACACAGCTTCCTACCTGAGCAGTGGGAGAACATTTGGTGTAACATTCCATGGACATTTGGCAACCTCACAATGAAGGTAACAGACAACCTAAATGTTTAAAATCAGCAATGAGAAAGAGCCTTGTTTCAAATATACCACCATATTCTAGTAAGAGTGTAGCAAGATTGCTAGATATAAAAGAAAAATCAATTAAAAAAGAAATTAGACAATACATTTAAAACATGAAGTAACTAGGACCAGATCTAGCAAAAGATGTGAAAGATCTGGGTGGATAAAGTTACAAAAATTAATTCAGAGACATTAAACACTAAATAAAGGGATATACTACATTCACAAATTGGATGACAGAATAGGTAAATGCATAAATTCTTCCGAGTTAAAAATTAATTGCAGTTCAATATAGAAAACCCTAAAGATCCCACCAAAAGAACTGTCAGGACTAATAAACAAATTCAGTAGAGTGCACACTGCAAAATCAATATAGAAAAATCAGTATCATTTCTATATGCTAATAGTGAGCTATCTGAAAGATAAATCAAGAAAATAATTCCACTTACAATAGCTACAAAAATTAAGATACCTAGGAATAAATTGAACTAAGGAGGTGAAAGATCTCTGTACTGAGAACTATAAAATATTGATGAAAGAAACTGAAGAGAATAAAAATAAATGGAAAGACATCCAATTTTCATGGATTGGAAGAATTAGTATTGCTAAATTCCCACACTACCCAAAGTGATCTACAGATTTAATGTAATCCCTATCAAAATAAGAATGACATTCTTCACAGAAATAGAGTACACAATCCTAAAATTCATATGGAACCACAAAAGACCCCCAATAGCTAAAGAAATCCCAAACAGAAAGAATAAAGCTGGAGGCATCTCACTACCTGACTTCAAAATCTACTATAAAGTGATAATAAGCTGAGCAGCCTGGTATTGGTATAATAGCAGAAACATATTCCAATGGAACAGAATAGAAAGACCAGAAATAAATTCATGCATCTACAATCAATTGACTTATGACAAAGGCACCAAGAATGCACATTGGAGAAAAGATGATCTCTTCAATCAATGGCGCTGGGATAATTGGATATCCATACAGGAAGAATGAGACTAAATCATTACCTCTCACCATATTAAAAAATTAATTCAAAATGGATTAAAGACTTAAATGTAAAACTAAAAACTAGAATACTACTAGAAGAAATCAGGAAAACACTTTATGACATTTAACTGGGCAATGATTTTTAAAACAAGACTTTAAAAGTACAGTCAACAAGGCAAAAATAGACAAATGAGACTACATTAAACTAAAACGTTTTTGCACAGCAAAGAAAACTATTAACAGAATGAAAAGACAATCTATGGAATGGGAGAAAAATTTGCAAATTATAAATTATGCATCTGAAAAGTGGTTAATATCAAGGATATATAAGGAACTTAAGTCAAAAGCAAAACAACAACAACAACAACATAAGCCCCACAAGAAAACGCAGAAACACAAATAAAAACAAAAAACACAAGCAAAAAAAACCCCAAATAACCAGATTAAAAATGACAAAAAACTTTAATAGACATTTTTCAAAAGAAGACATATAAATGGCCAACAGATATATAAAAAATGCTCAAAATTATTTATCAGAGAAGTGCAAATCAAAACCACAGTGAGTTAGAATGGATAAGCCTCACTCCAGCTAGAATGGATATTATCAACAAGACAAAAACAAACAAACAAACAAAAATCCCCAAGTGTTGTCAAGGATGTGAAGAAAAGAAAACACACACTGTTGGTGGGATTGTAAACTAATACAGCCGCTGTGGAAAACAGTGTAGAGGTTCCTCAAAAAATTAAAAATAGATCCATAAACTTTAATGCTCCACTGACAGCACTAGACAGCTCATCTAGACAGAAAGTTAACAAAGAAACAATGGACTTGAACTATACCCCAGAACAAATGGATTTAACAGACATTTACAGAACATTCTACTCAACAACTGCAGAGTATACATTCTATTCATCAGCACATAGAACGTTTTTCAAGATAGTGCATATGATAAGCCACAAAACAGGCCTCAATAAATTTAAGAAAATTGAAATTATATACAGTACTTTCTCAGACCACAGTGGAAGAAAACTAGAAATCAACTCCAAAAGGAACCCTCAAAACCATGCAAATATGTGGAAGTTAAGTAACCTGTTCCTGAATGATTGTGGGGTCAGCAATGAAATCAAGTAGGAAATTAAAAATTTCTTTGAACTGAACTATAATATTGACACAACCTATCAAAACCTCTGGGATCCAGCAAAGGCAGTGCTAAGAGGAAAGTTCGTAGATTAAACGCCTACATCAAAAAGTCTGAAAGAGCACAAATAGACAATGTAAGGTCACACCTCAAGGAACTAGAGAAACAAGAACAATTGAAACCCAAACCCAGCAGAAGAAAAGAAATAGAGATCAGAGCAGAACTAAATGAAATTGGAACAAAATATACAAAAGATAAATGAAACAAAAAGTTGGTTCTTTGAAACGATAAATAAAATTGATAGGCCATTAGTGAGATTAACCAAGAAAAGAACCAAATAAGCTAAACTAGAAACGAAACAGGAAGTATTACAACAGATAACACAGAAATACAGAAGATCATTCAAGGCTACTATTAACACTTTTATGCACATAAACTAGATAACTTAGAGGAGATGGACAAAATCCTAGAAATATACAACCCTCCTAGATTAAACCAGGGAGAAATAGAAACTCTGAACCAACCAATAACAAGCAGAGAGATTGAAATTGTAATAAAAAATATTGCCAACAAAGAAAAGTCCAGGGCCAGATGGATTCACAGCTGAATTTCACAAAACGTTGAAAGAAGGGTTGGTACCAATCCTGTTGACACTATTCCACAAGAGAGAGAAAGAGAGAATCTTCCCCAATCATTCTCTGAAGCCAGTATCACCCTTATACTAAAATCAGGAAAGGACATAACCCAAGAAGAAAACTACAGACCAATATCCCTGATGAACACAGATGCAAAAATCCTCAACAAAATTCATATGGAACCAAAAAGAGCCGGCATAGCCAAAGCAAGACTAAGCAAAAAGAACAAATCTGGAGGTATCACATTACCTGACTTCAAACTGTACTATAAGGCTATAGTCACCAAAACAACATGGTACTGGTATAAAAATGTCACATAGACCAATGGAACAGAATAGATAACCTATAAATAAAGCCAAATACTTAACAGCCAATTGATCTTCGACAAAGCAAACTAAAACATAAAATGGGGAAAGGACACTCTATTCAACAAATGGGATAACTGGCAAGCCACATGTAGAAGAATGAAACTGGATCCTCCTCTCTCACCTTATAGAAAAATCAACTCAGGATGGATCAAAGACTTAAATCTGATACCTGAAACCATAAAATTTCTAGAAGATAACATCAGAAAAACCCTTTTAGACACTAGCTTAGGCAAAGACTTCATGACCAAGAACCCAAAAGCAAACGCAGCAAAAACAAAGATAAACAGATGGGACTTAATTAAACTAAAAAGCTTCTGCACAGCAAAAGAAACTATCAGCAGAGTTAACAGACAAATCACAGAGTGGGAGAAAATCTTTGCAGTCTATACATCTGACAAAGCACTAATATCCAGAATCTACAATGAACTCAAATCAGCAAGAAAAAAAAAACCAAACAATCCCATCAAAAAGTGGGCTAAGGACATGAATAGGAAATTATCAAAAGAAGATATACAAATGGCCAACAAACATGAAAAAAATGCTCAAATCACTAATGATTAGGGAAATGCAAATCAAAACCACCATGTGATACCACCTCACTCCTGCAAGAATGACCATAATCAAAAATTCAAAAAAATAATAGATATTGGTGTGGATTTGGTGAAAATGAAACACTTTTACACTGCAGGTGGGAAGGTAACTAGTACAGCTGCTATGGAAAACAGTGCAGAAATTCCTTAAGGAACTAAAAGTAGATCTACCGTTTGATCCAGCAATCCCACTACTGGGTATCTACCCAGAGTAAAAGAAGTCATTATACAAAAATGATACTTGCACACACGTTTATAGTGGCAGAATTTGCAATTGCAAAAATATGGAGCCAGCCAAAATGCCCATCAATCAATGAGTGGATAAAGAAACTGTGGTATATATACACCATGGAATACTACTCAGCCATAAAAAGGAATGAAATAAAGTCATTTGCAATAACCTGGATGGAATTGGAAACCACTATTCTAAGTGAAGTACCTCAGGAATGGAAAACCAAACATCATATGTTCTCGCTTATAAGTGGGAGCTAACCTATAAGGATGCAAAGGCACGAGAATGATACAATAGTCTTTGGGGACTCGGAGGAAAGCGTGAGAGGAGGGTGGGGCACACAAGACTACACATTGTGCACTGCTCAGGTGATGGGTGCACCAAAATCTCAGAAATTACCACTAAAGAACTTATTCATGTAACCAAACACCACCTGTTCCCCCAACAATTATTGAAATAAAACAAAATAGAACTACCATATAAACCAGCAACCCCATGACTGGGTATATATATGAAAAGGAAATAAAATCTGTATGTCAAAGAGATACCTGCATTCCCATGTTTATCGTAGTACTATTTACCATAGCCAAGATAAAGAATAAGCCTAAGTATCCAACAACAGATGAATGGTTAAAGAAAATGTGGTATATATACAATAGAATACTATTCAGCCTTATAAAAAGAAGAAAATCTTGTCATTTGCAAAAATGTGGATGAACCTGGAAGACATTATGCTAAGTAAAATAAGCCAGACACAAAAAGACAAATGCTGCATAATCTCACTCGTGTGGAATCTAAAAAAATAACGATATCACAGAAGCAGAAAGTAGAACAGTGGTTACCAGAGACTGGGAGAGGGGGAGAATAGGAAAAAGTTGGTTAATAATTCTGCTGTGCAATATAGAACACCAGAATTGATTCCTCCTACTTTAGGTTCTATATTGCACAGCAGAGTGTCTATGGTTAACAGTAAAATGTTGTATATTACAAAATGGCTAGGAGAGAGACTTTTGTATATTCTTGCCACAAAGAAATGATAAATGGATGAGGTGATGGATATACTAACTACTCTGATTGGGACATTAAACAACATAGATGTGTATCAAAACATCAAATCATAACCCATAAATATGTATAGTGAGTCCTCATTTAACATTGTTGGTAAGTTTTTGAATATTGAGACTTTCAGCAAAACAAAGCACAGGAAAACAAAACTCATTTTACCATAGACTGATATAAACAAGAATTAAGTCCCCACAGCATATAGTAAGTTGTTTCATTTAAAGTCACATTTTCCAAGAACCTATCGATGATGTTAAATGAAGACTTACTGTGCAATTAAAATGTATTGATTAAAAATTAAATACTTTTTTTTTAAAAAGGTAAAAATATCTGATGTACTCTTCAGGAAAACAGCAAAGGATAAAGGCTCATAAAGCTATAGAAATTCAGGAAGCGTGGTTTGGTTTGGAGATAAACAAATACATCTGATACAGCAAATATATCATGGATAGAAAACACTCCAACAGACCCATACTTGCATGGATATTTAAAATGTGGCAGAGGTGGATTATGGATTAGTGGTGAATCCACAAACTTTTCAATAAATTGTGCTAGGGAAACTGGATATTCATATGGAGAAAAAGAAATAAAATTTTTCCAATTATTGGAAATATTTACTTCCAATTTGCACCATCCACAAAAAATAAACTCCAGGTGGGTAGATTAAATATGCAATGTGAAAGACACACAGTAATGTTTTCAGATGATAACATGGAAAATATCTTTATTGCTAGTGGCTAAGGAAGAGTTTTTGAAACAAGATAAAATGACACTAATTATATTAATTAGGGTAAGATTGTATAGTAACAAATAGCCAAATTTTGGTGGCTTACAGATAAAAAAGTTTCTTTCTTTCTTTGTAACAATGAGGGAATGGTGTTTGGGTCAATTGTTAATGGGTATAAGCTGAAGACGATGCTTCTTTCTTCATCAGGTAGCTTTCCAAGGATAACCTGGGTGTGGCTGTTTCAGGCCACTAGACAAATAAAAAAGAGCATCGCAGAGCCCAAATATAATAGAAATTTTCTAAGGGCCAGACTTGAGAAAGGCT
Organism: Homo sapiens; assembly: GCF_000001405.40. Classification (NCBI taxonomy): domain Eukaryota; kingdom Metazoa; phylum Chordata; class Mammalia; order Primates; family Hominidae; genus Homo; species Homo sapiens. The sequence continues at coordinate 6,462,003 of NC_000020.11, forward strand.
CATATTACTTCTGTTCACATCCCACTGGAGAGAACTTAGGCACATGGTCTTGCCTAACGGCAAGGTGGTCTGGGAAACTGTAGTGTAGCTCTGCTTCCATGAATAACAGAGAGATTTTGGTGGTCAGTGAACTACTCCACATTAATCATAAAATGAATACATATGCCTATATTAAAGTAACCAGAAAATAAAGAGAGCAAAAGACTAGCCAGCATGTGAGAGAAGTTAAATAAATAATATAAAGAACATATCTGGAATATATGAAAAACTGAGAAATCAATTGAAAAACCAGAAAAACTAATGGAAAAGTGGGCATAAGACTTGAACAAGCACTTCAGAAAAGAAAAAAATCCACCTCATTAGTATTCAGGAAGATACTATTGAATATCACAATGGGTTACCTATTTTTTCTTTCTCTCCCTCTTTCTATTGCTCTATCAATTAGAATAAGAGTATATATACTCAAGCTGATATATATATATATACATATATATAAAACAGTTTTTTATATATATATACATATATATAAAACAGTTTTTTATATATATATACATATATATAAAACAGTTTTTTATATATATACATATATATAAAACAGTTTTTTATATATATACATATATATAAAACAGTTTTTTATATATATATACATATATAAAACAGTTTTTTATATATATATACATATATAAAACAGTTTTTTATATATATACATATATAAAACAGTTTTTTATATATATACATATATAAAACAGTTTTTTATATATATACATATATAAAACAGTTTTTTATATATATACATATATATAAAACAGTTTTTTATATATATACATATATAAAAGTTTTTTATATATATGTATATATACATATATATGTATATATACATATACATATATATATGTGTATATATATATATATATATATATATACTCTCAGATAATATGAAGGGCTGTGAAGAGTGGGGCAATGATAACTCTTACACTGCTAGTGGGAGTGGGAGTTTTTTATACCCACATTGGAAAACAGTTTGACATCATGTAATGTAGTCCAAAATGGGCACACATTATGATCTAGCCATTCTCTTGCTAGGTCTAGATGCTAGGGGAGCTTTTGCACATTTACTGCAAGAGATAATATGAATGTTCACGGTAACATTGTTTGTATTGTTTTGGCTACCAAAGAAAAACATCCCACTTGTCTATTAATAGTAGAATGGATAAATCAATATTGGAATACTATAGAACATAAAAATGAATAAATTCTAGCTACTTAGAGCAATATAAATAAACCTTTCAAACTAATGAATAAGATAGGTAAATCACAAGAAATACAACATAATTCAGGAGAATAAAGCCTACAAAGTTTTCAAAGAAAATAAGTTTAATTCAGGAATTTTATACTTATTTATATCCATTTTGAGTATAAAAAATTGGAAACATAACTTTGAACATGGAAAGACTTATAATTTCCTTTATTATTATAAGGAACCCTGGCCATCAAAGAATTTGGAATACAACTCTCCATGATGTACTGGACTAGGGGTACTCTTAGTTATGCAAGCAAAACACCTAGTTCTCTTTTTCTTAATTTCGGGTTACATGTATGCAAAAATTAAAAAGTAGAAATGCGTAGCATATTGCTAGTTTTTAGAGTACCACATCTCATCTCAGGATAAATTACCTAAATTGGTGCTTCCAACTGAGAATGATGCAATGTTATAATGGTAGGTTCCTTAGAATATGAATGATACATATTTAACAGATTAAAGATTGTCTGATTGCTAATGTTTAATTTCCCAGTTTTGGTGGTGGCAGTCTTTTTTACAGACCTCCTTCAAAAAGACTGGTAATTCTAGTAATTTCTGACAGCTAGAAAATCTTCTAGGGAATTAAATGCCCAAACATTCAGGAGCTGACATACAAGGATGCCTATCTAAAGTGAAGAAGGGTACAGCCACCAAGTCCTTTAGTCCTTGTTTGTCTCAAGAAAACCCTTAACTTGATCCTTACTCCTGAGCATGTGGTTTTTCCCTTGGAAATTATACTGTGCTTGGATGTTTGTTATTTGGGGTGGTATCTGATTTGTATGCAGGGAACAGGAGCAAAGATGCTAGCCTAACTTAGGGGACTTAAGGAATAATGGCCCAGGAAGATCAGTGTGGAATAAATTTTGTACTCCAAAATAGCAAAGATCTATTTAGGGAAACCGGGCTTACTCAACATATCCAGGGGGCATGAGCAAATCTAGAAATAGGAGGTGAAATTCAGAGCTGAGTGGAAGCCAAGAGACCGGGAACAAAGTTGAGAATAAATTGAAGAAGGCCCCGAGTGATGCTGCAAACACAGTTTGTGCCTCTATTGAAGAACAGCTATGCAGAATCATGACCTTTCAGCCTGTCATAAAGTTAAAGGCCAGAGAAGACTTCCAGGAAATTGATATTGGTGGGATATAATTATCCTGATGGGAATAGGAGAAAGCTGTTGCAAAAATTGAGACTCGCAATGATGGTGTCTTGGAATGGAGAGCTGAGATCCTCGATGGGGAGAAGTGGTTTGACTTCAGCTATAGTTTGAAGCAGGCGATGACAGGATTTACTGATGGGTATGAGAAAGGAGAGTCCAGGAGAATTCCATTAGCTGAGACAGGAAAGATTGAGGGAAGAATATTTGAAGTGTCTGGTGGAAATTAGGGGTTTGGTTTTGAATACGTTAAGTTTAGCATGTCTGAAAAACATCTATGTGGAGATGTTTCTTTCAGCAGGAGGCTTAACAAACAACAGCTGTGGTAGCTGTTACTTTTCATCACCTTGACATTCAGTGACATAAATCCCTGAAAGTTGGAACCTGCTAACATGTCTCAGAAGACAGAATCCTTACCCACCAAAAGCTGCTCACATTCAGGTTTCCCTTTCCAAATAAACTCTAATATTCATTCTATTTGGTTCCTTTTTTTGGCTTTGCTTCTCATCCTGAATTCAAACAAGTGACTAATCAGGAAGCTCAAAGACCCTCTATCTCCATTGCTAATTCTATTGGCTCATTCAGTCATTAAACATGTTTACTACGCACTGATTATAAGTGTAAAAAACAGGTCTCAATTGCCCATATAGGTGACCTCAATAATACCCCTTATATTGGCATGTCCTCCTTCTCTTTCTCGGTCTCCCAAACTCCTCACTCCCCTTTGGGGATGTAGGTCTCAGGCTCTACTTTTGTAAGCAGATAATCTGTGCCATTCAAGCAACGGTCAACAATGAACTATAATGAACTATCAAAGCCATAATGGACAGTCCGCTTCACCTGGACATGTGGGGATGGCATTAATGGCAGCCACATAGTGTGTGTCCTTGTCAATCAGATTATTGCTCGCTTTGCGTAGAGCCTCCACTGGCTTCACGTTGTACCCAGGGTTAGATCCATGACCTCCCTCCCAACAATTGCCACTCTCCCATCCACTACAATCTAGCAACACGGACCTGCCTTTGCTTTCTGCTCCTTTAATATGCCCCTTGCTCCCATGTCAGGGCCTCTAGACTTGCTGTTCCCTCTGCCTGGAATGCTTTCCCCTACATCTTTGCATAGCTGATTCATGCTTATCAAAGTCAGCTAAAATGTCAGCATTTTAGAGAAATCTTCTCTGATGTCCTTTACTGAAGGCAGTGGCCTTGTTTTTCTTGTCTGTTGCTGTGTGTTCATTGCTCATCCCAATGCCTAGGTAAGTGTATGTCACCAGATGGCCCTTGTAGCAGGTGCATTTAGAGCTCTGCTCACATCCTCTCAGCACTCACCTCTACATGCTGGAGGTGACTTTGCTGACACCTGCCACTCTCCTTGGGGCTTTTTTGACTGAAGGTACCCACTAGACTCAGGAACAGGGCAAGTCAGAAATGCCAAAGAGTTAATGCTGGAGAAGCAACTCTCAAGCATGGGGGGTTGTGTATAAATACCCTGGCTTCCTTGCCCCTTGGGTAGAGTAACTCTGAGGAATGTATTACGCACTGTCTCCAGGAGTTTTCCAGTTAGATTAAGCTCCAGGTGCCCACAGAGGTAACTTGCCTAAGAACATAATATTTATTCACTTCCTTTTTTTTTTTGCTACCTCATTTTCCCATTCTGCCCAGTGCTTCTTGGGATTGCCTCCCAGTGAATCAACGTGCACTTGGACGCTTTCTCACATCCCTTTGCTTCTGGGAAATCTAGCCTCAGACAACCCTCAATAAATGAAAAAATGTCCAAGTATTTATATTCAAATAGTACTTACTGCCTGGAAGTCACCAGGAGTTTGATTCATAGTGTCATAGTTTTTTCCCCCACATTACACATTCAGTCAGTATGCTTTTTAATTCTGGCTCTCACAGGGAAAGCATACAATAACATATGTTGGGTATGTTGTTTAACGTTCACAGCAAAGACTTACTATGTGCTTTTTGGTTTGAGGATTTTTGAGTAAGTGGTGGAGACATTTTTGATGTCACCCCAAGTTCTGCTGAGCAGAAGTGATAAGAATGTCTCTCTATGAAGCTCCACCAATAGAATGCATTGAGTCAGAAAATTTCATAACCTTCCATAAACAAAGAACAAGGTCCTAAGTGAAGGGAAAACAGGAAGCGATATGAGGAGGAATTTGTTTACCATGATTTCAACAACACTGGAATTTATTTTTATCAAAATGAAACCATGGGTAAGTCAACAAGGCTGGGCAAAGCCCAGAGACTGTGAGGTCCTAGATTCCCAACCGGGACACTATGAACTCAAGGAATTCAAATACATTTTGATTTTTCTAGAAATTGCTCAATGTTTCTCACATGAGTCTCGGTTTCTTTTACTTTTCTTTTTGAATTTCAAATATTTTCTTTTTGAAAACATAACATATCAAAGAGAGTTTTCAAGAACCCAGATTTAAACTTTAAAGCCAAATTTCTGTAAGGTCACCCAACATTTTATCTTACAATGACCAACACCTGGAGTATAAATGATCCCCATCATTGTGCCTCCTTTTGTTAGCCTTGTTAGAGAAGGCAGCAGAGTTCTGAACTAGTTTCTTGTTTCCTTAATGTTTAGACAGGGGACAAAGCCCTCTGTATCTATAGAGGCCAGTGGTCTGGAGACCATGGACAACAAGACATTGTATCTTTGTGTCTTGTGGGAAGCAGGGAGGGTGGAGCAGTGTTGCTGACTTTTTAAGACAAGCTAAAAACCTGGATTTTCCTATAAAATTTCCCCAATTTGAATGTTTTAAAATCATCGTGTAGGCTGGGCATGGTGGTTCACACCTGTAGTCCCAGTACTTTGAGAGGCCGAGGCAGAAGGGTGCCTTGAGCCCAAGAGTTCAAAACCAGCCTGGGCAACATAGTGAGACCTCATCTCTACAAAAAATGAACAATTTAGCTGGGTGTGGTGGCATGCACCTGTAGTCCTAGCTACTCAGGAAGCTGGGGGGAGGATCGCCTTAAGCACAGGAGGTTGAGGCTGCAGAAAGCCAATATCATGCCACTGTATTCCAGCCTGTGCAACAGAGTAAGACTCTATCTCGAAATAATAAAATAAAATAAAATAAAATCACTGTGTAAAAAAAAAGTCTCCATTTTAAAGCTTGATTTTACACTTCTATTTGAAGAACTTGAGGCTACTTTGGCACTATAATAAATGAAAGGGTTCCCCTGTAATGGAAGCACCACCAGAGATCCTGTGCTGAGATTTATTGCCTTGCTATTTAAAGAGTGGTCTCTGGCCAGCTGTATCAGTATCAGCTGGGAACTCATTAGTGACACAGACTCTCAGGCCTATGCAGATCCACTGAATCGGACCCTGCTGTCTAACAAGCTCCCCAGAGGATTCATGTGCACGTTAAAATTTGAGAAACATTGATTGAGTTTGCCTCTTCAGGAAAAAAGAAAAAAATCAGACTCTAAATGCAGAAGCTACAATTTATGTCTCACATGGAGAGAGAGGAAAAAGAATACTATGGAAGTCATAGACACTTATAATTAGTAATAGCTAGCTAAATATTTAAAAAGTGGCTTATTAATAAGGAGTTGCATATTCTCTGTTTGGATATCCAGTTGGTTGTCTATATTCATGGCTTCTGGCATCCATGGATTCAAGGAACCACTGACTGAAAATATTTGGAAAATAAAAAGTATTTGTGCTGAACATGTACAGACTTTTTTTGGTTATTATTCCCTAAACAATATAGTATGACAATTATTTATATAGGATTTGCATTGTATTATGTATTGTAAGTATCTAGAAATTATTTAAAGTAGGGAGGATGTGTGTAGGTTATATGCAAATAATGTTGCATTTTATATAAGGGATTTGAGCATATGCAGGTTTTGTTATCTGCAGTGGGTCTAGAGTCAATGCCCCTACAGGTAGTGAGGAATGACTATATTTAGTCAATTTGTTGAGGCATGCAATTGATTAGGGCAGCCTCTCTCAATATTTTCAGCCAAAGTCTGTATTTCCAGTAATAACAGGATTTTTATATTTGGGTTATGCTGTCAATTACATGTATTAAGAATCTATTTTGTGCATGCTACTGTTCTGAGCACTGGGCCCAGGGATGAATAAGGCACAGCTTCTATCTCAAAGCACTTAGTATCTTGATGACAAGACATGCCCAGAGCAGCCACAGAAGCATAAATAGCATGGGGAATGCAGTACTAGGAGGCTGAGTTGGCCAAGTGCCCAATAATTGATCTTTGTCATGATCATTCAACACAATATTGTACTTACTTTTTTTGATTTGAATATTTATTTGCTTAATATCTGTCTACAATTCCACACTGAAAGCATTATGCCTGCAAGGACCAATATTAATTGAATGATTTGCCCATTGCTTACTTCCATATTTACATATAGCTCTCTACACAGGGAAGGGGAATGTAAAAGAAAAATTATAGGCAACTTTGCATGACATGCTTGAGTCATTTCCTGTTAATGTTTTCTTTCTCTATAAATAATATATGCAAATAAAACTAACTGAATTATTTTACAGAACCCCTGCACTTCTGAGGTTTTACACACTACTCCTCACTTCCTCCAATTCCTCTGTCCCTTAACCCCAGCCCTAGGCAACTTCGAATCTATTTCCTGACCCTAGGGATGTGCCGATTCTAAACATTTAAAATAAATGGAATGATAAAATATGTGGTTCCTTGCGACTGGCTCTTTTCACTTAGCACAATGTTTTGGAAGCTCACTAAATTTTGTTTTCATTCTGCATTTCTTTGAAATAGAAAAAAAGAAACTTAGGCTAAGGAAGATATTAAAATATTACAGAAGTACAAGTGACTCCCAAAGCTTGAGCTACATCATGCTTTTGTTTATAAATGTAGAAACACATGTGTTCCTTCTGTTTCTCTTTCAGCTGTCTTGAACCAAGTTTTTATTGGGTGTTTGGTGGGGCTTATGTGAGAACTGGATGGCCCTAGGAAAAACTGAGAAATGTATGTTTATTTTCCATGCCTCTTCTTTCCAATTTTTATATCCTCCTCTTCTCCTTAGATATCCAATATTCTAATGGTACATCTTTACCCTACAGTATTACATTCTGAAAATGAATGGCAAAGTTAGTTAAACCTGTTAAATAACATTTTAATTCCCATAGCGGGCTTCTATTTTCCCACCTAAAGGAGAGACTAATGGTAAACATTTCAGGAAGACGGGGAAATGGGCAACTATTTTTGGTTAAGAACAATTTTCTAGACATTTGTTGAGAGCTTGTCAGGTGTTAGGCAAGTGCCGTATCAAAGAGGTAAAGTAATGCCCAAGACACACAGCTATTAAGTGGTGAAAGCAGAATTTGAACGGTTCTTCCTGATTACAGAACCTCAGTGCTTAATTATTGTGGTATACAGCCTCCTCGATGCTTGTTAGTCACCCTATAAATTCCTCAGCCAACGACCATTCCATCTTGCCCTTCCTAAAGCAAACACAGTATGTATCATTTGATATTTATTCTGTCTTTTGGCATTCTTTCTAGAGAGGATGTTATCAATTCTGTAAGTTGTAGTTTCTGTTGGTCATTTAAAAATATGAAAGTCAACATTTTGTTTGTAAATTCCCTTTTCTACTTACTAGAAAACTCTAGATCTGAGTTTTCAAGATGTAGTAACCTGTATCTGTATTATATTGCATGGAGAACATAACTACTATCACTAGAGAGGGTTCAGTTCTTTAATTTGATGAAAATGTCAGGCTAAAGTGGAATGAGAACTTATTCAACTTAACAAGCATCCATTGACTTTCTAATCAAGAAATGCTAAAGGGAGTTCTTCAACTTGAAATGTAAACAGGAACATGAAGCATGAGAAAGTATAAAACTCATTGCTAATGGTAAATATATAGACAAATGTAGAATATTCTATTAGTGTAACAGTGGTGGGCAAATCACTTTTAATTCTAGTATACTAATTAAAAGATAAAAGTATTAAATATAGTAATGTTAAGAGATACACAATACAAGTAGATGTAAATTGTGCCATCAATAACGAAGTGTAAAGAGGGCATAATAAGAAGTGTAGAGTTGGATGTGATTGAACTTAAGTTGTTATCAGCTTAAAATAAACTCAACAGGGAAGACAACGGCATGGGAAACCTTTCAGTGTCTCGCTAAGTGGGTGCTAGAAAGGACTTATGGGATTTTAGCTTGTGCTGGGTGATCTTAGGAAGGGTTTAAGGAAGGAGAGCTTTGCTTTTAAGTAGAGGCTGTTGGGAAGCAATTTTATGATTTGGTACAGAGATAGTTCTATGATTGGGTATCTTCATGATCCTATTTAGAAGGCAAAAGAAATGATATGAGGCTAACACTGTTAACTGGTGAAGAATCAGCAGACATTCGTATTAGCCAGGATATAGGAGTATTTAGTCATTATGCTGGCTTGGACAGTATTTATGCTTTTATCTGTGCTTACATGTGTTTATGGAGTGGTCTTGTTTTTTTCTTGATCCATCATGGTCACAGAGTGGATTTATCTGATCTTGGTGTTCTGGGAAATTTTGTATGTGTGACAGGACAGAATAATGACATAGCTGGGGACACAAGGCCAGTTCCTCAACACCAAGGCTGGCTGGCAGGGGCTTTTTCTCTTTCTCACCATGCACTTAGTTTTGCAATGTCAAGAGTTGAGGAGAACTGAGTTTTATTTTAGTCCTTCAATTTATTTGCTACTAGCTGTTTAACTTGAGAAAACTCACACAGTATCAGAGCTTTAGTTTCCTTATACCCATAAGCTTTAGCTTCCTGATAATATGTTTCCTTAAATGGGAATAATAAAAACCACCTTGATGGTTTATTGAAAGGATAAAAGAAAATGTAGGAAAATCTCCCAGCTCTTCACCTTTCAGAAAATATTCCAATTTGATAAATGATTGAGGGAAGATTGTCTCCATTTTTGTACTATTAAGATGTCATTCAATGAAATTGCGTATTTATTGAGGACTTCTGACATAGCAATCTGGGTGTCACGTGGCCGTGCGATAGTTACAGTCCCCAAGGTGGCCTTAGCCATGAGAGTGTATCATGGGTTCATACTGTGCGTTCTTCTCATATGGGAGTCTGGGGCCTACCTACTTCATAGGAAGTGTGCCTCAAAAGTCTCATTTCTCAGATTTCTCCCTTCAGTTCTGTACTGCCCATCTCCACCACCTAAAGGTATAAATCTATGGGTTGTCGTCTTTGTACCTTACATGTCGGTTCTGACATTTGGATGCATATTAGAATCAACTGGAGGGTTTTAAGAAACACTGATGTCTAGATTCCACCCCCAGGGACTCTAACTCACTGATTTTGGCTGAGGGTAGTTAGTCATTGAGATTTTAAAGAGTTTTTCAGATAATTCTAACAGGCAGCAGAGTTTGACAGCCATTGCTATAAACAGTGTTTCTCAAACTTTAATGTACTTATGAGTCATTTAGGGAATCTTGTTAAAATGCAGATTTTTTATTAAATTTAAAATGCAAAATAAAAATTCAGATTCGTAATACATTTAAAAGTTAAAATGCAGGCCTAGGAGTCTGCATTTCTGGCCAACTCCCAGATGATGTCAGTGCTGCTGGTCCAAGGACCACACTTTGAGTAATAAGGCTAGATACATCTGTTCTCACTTAGCCTTGTAGAACAGTCTATAAAATTTGTAATGGTGTGTCAGGTGGGATCTTTTAATGGAATAAGCTAGAGGGAAGGAGGGAGGAATATAGTCATATGGACTTGCACTTCCACTGTCAAAAGAACACATTCAACAGTTGGAATTTGCTATATGTATGTTGAGGATTTGTTACTATAGGTGACAAGACTGTGTGTCTGTACCTATGAAGATCAAATTCTTATATTCCTCGTTGTAATAAGCCTCCTAAAACAACTTCAGTTTCAAAAACAGAAAATATAGTGGGGAGGGAGATGGACAAGATAAGTTTTTATATTACGTCCTATGTTTCACATTTCTACACTTCAACCTAACTATGCTGTAAAAATCCAGAGCTTGACATCCTATTCCCTGCTAAGCTCACCTAACGGGGTTTTAACCAGCAAAAGGATGCCCTCACTACCTGGATAGACATGCAAAGGAAGCACTAGTGCTGTGTGGTGTCTCCTGCTCCCTTTGTAGAGTCTTTGTGAAAGAAGTGTGGGGTAAGAGCTTTGTAATATTTAGGTGCTGTCTGTAAGAAAGGACTTGTTTTACTTTTTAATGGAACTTGGAAGGAAATATAGAGTTGTAGGTGGCTGGATCCATTTCTAGGCTTTGCCAGTCCCCATTCTTACAAAAAAGCATTGACCCATGATGAAGAGCCTTAAGGCACTTACTTGGAGATGCACATGATGATACTAGCTGTGCCTGGGTCATCTTAAGGCCGACTGCACCTTCCTCCAGCTTAAAGAATTTATAAGATGCTTCTTTGGGCATGCCTAGGAAAAGCACAGGCCTTGATTGACCAGGTTAAATGGAGGGGCCTAAGCATTACAGATAATTATGGAAGGAGCTTTAAGGAAAATAAGCTTAGTTGGTGATAAAACAATGATAAATAGAGACTACTAGCTATAAGACGATCTGTCTCTTATGACTGAGAGTTCTAGGAGGACCAGGTAAATTCAGACTTGATACGGTGAAAGGGATTGGATTTGGTTTTCCTAATAGATTCTGGAAATAAAATTAGTGACTTGGTCTTTTTTACTATCTCCTCATCTTAGTTCCTCTCCAGAAAGAAATAGGTGGGACAGAGATGTTAAAGAAGAAGAAACTGTGCTACAGAGAAGGTGGAAACTAAGACATAAGTGGAGATTAGAACTTGGCTGTTTGGCCCCAGGGCTTTTCTCACTAGACTATGATGTAGTATTTCAAGACAGCATGAGTAATGGGCAATGAACATGACAAACTTATGTTGTGCAAGGAGTAACATTTGAGAAGCTTAGGTTCCAGCTGGGCATGGCTTTACTGCCTGCTAATTTTCCCTAGCTAAAAGCACAGCAATTTGTAATAGTTGAATCAGCCCTCTAATCTGAGTCAAACATCAGTTGCTTTCTTTGTATATCTGCTCCCTAGGATCACAAATGCTAGCTTTCATATGGATTTCAAGCTGGGTGAAATGACTTTTTTTGCTTGTAAAGAAGAAATGATGATGGAGGTCTCATCAGGAAGTGATGCAGAAGACTGGGACAGGTGAGTAAGCACCACTGGCAGAGTTAATTCTGGCTGCCATGCAACTCCGTAGTAAGTGTCAGTAGCAAAGCTGAAGTCAAACATTGTTTACTCCTCTGCTAAGGCTCTGCAAATCGGTAAAGATACCCAAATGCACATTCCCTGCATGGTCATCAGAAACATATATTTTTTATTGACAAGGCTTAGCAGATCTTAGCCATTGACTGAAGTGTAATTTAGATGGATGAGCTATTCTGCTGAAGAGTGCTACTAGTCTTCTCTAAGCAGTAGTGCAAAACTGCAGGGACTAGGAAAGGGCTAGATCCGTGCAAAGAAGGAAGGAAACACCTGAAGGCTCGTGATGCAAAAAGTAATTACTATGCTTAACAGGGAGTATCACCCCGCTTATTTACAGTCAGGGTAATTGAAATTTCATGTTTGGCATTTCCCAAGATTTCACAGTGCAGAATCAATCTACCAAAAGCTTTCATGTATACCATATCAATTAATCAGTCGGTATCAGCTTGGTACCTAATATACACTCAATGGTTCAGTCAGACGGACTATATGGACACATACTGAAATCGCTATGAAAATGAAAATTAAAACTTTGGTCCTTTAAAAATAATACAAAATGCTTTTTTCAGGACCCAAAATAAAATAAGTAAAAACCAAAGAAAATGTTCTAAGGAGTTAAAATGGAATGGCAAGGCCTAATTCAATAATCATTAATCCCAGTGAGTTTTAGGCATCTTTAGAATCAGAATATGGTTTTCAAGAGAAATATTAGAAGGAAGGCTAATATTTGAAAAGTGAGATGATTGAAGTAGCCCTGGCAGAGGCAGGGATGGGACTATATCCTAGCATCTTCTCCCCTTCATCTTCACCTTCTTCTCCTATGTACTCTGTTTCCTTTCGTGCATATAGTTCAGCACCATAAGGACCTCTTGATTCTGTGTATGACTTGCAAAGCAGTTTGGGAATGTCTATTTTGGCTTGATTCTTCCATTTAACAAATTGGTAAACTGAGACACAGACTTTGTTTAAAATGACAGGACAAGTTAACAATAGAACCAAGAACAGAGCTCAGGTCTCTAACGCCCAGCCCTGAGAGTCCACGCCCCACGCCAGGTGACTTCCCCTGAAAAAATAGACCAAGGAATAAGAAGCTATATTCCTGGCTGGGCGCAGTGGCTCACGCCTGTATTCCCAGCACTTTGGGAGGCCAAGGTGGGTGGATCACCTGAGGTCAGGAGTTCAAGACTGGCCTGGCCAATGTGGTGAAATCTCGTCTCTACTAAAAATATAAAAATTAGCCAGGCTTAGTGCTGAGTGCCTGTAATCCCAGTTACTTGGGAAGCTGAGGCAGGAGAATCACTTGAACCCAGGAGGCGGAGGTTGCAGTGAGCCGAGATTGCACCATTGCACTCCAGCCTGGGCAACAAGAGTAAAACTCTGTCTCAAAAAAAAAAAAAAAAAAAGGGAATAACTCTTAAGGACTAACCAAATCCTTAAGTTCACTTTGTGTATGGCTCTACATTGATTTCGCCTTGTTAGATGTCTATCTGATTCAAGGACTGCGCTTGATCATGTACCTAATACTTCTCCTCACTCGGAAGTTGATAGAGTACATGATTGTTCTTTGATGTTGTGATTTAACATTTTCTTCCTCTGTCATCTGACTGTCCAAAGTCTCCATTTTAGATTGTAACTCTTGGATGGCTGGCAGAGTGTCTAGCCGTCTAGCAGTTTCTCTTTGTCTCATATACATTTTGGAGTCAGGGTGCTTTTTGAGCATGATGGTAATGATTCTAACCTGACATGCCATGCACTGGGTCTGACTCATGAAGACACAGGAGCTGGGCTGTAACATTTCACCAGGTTTTGTGATGTGGGGTAAAGGAAAGAAGGGATGGGAGGATGACTACTGGAATGCAACTTTTACTCCTCTCCTACCTCATCTTGTTGATGTCACAGCCTGGAAAATGCTGTGCCTTGCATTATTTTTGAACATATAATTTGTATGCCTTTCATGTGTATATTGATGAAAAAAAGTTTGCGCTCCATCCTTGCACTGGAGGTTTTTTGCTATGGCCCACTGGTGTTTAGCTGGGAAATGAAGTATACAAAGAACCTAATGGATTTGGGCAATTCCTTTTATAGGAGACATAAAAACAAGGTGAGTATATCTGGGCAGTAAATCCTAAAGTTTCATTTAGCCCCCTGCCACCCACTTAAATCAATTCCTCTATCCAAACAGGCATAATTTCCTATTATTTTAGCCTTTATCTTCTCATAGTCTTTTTCATACCCATTGCCAATATCCTGATTCTTACTCAACGCAGTAAGTCTCATAACTGGTTTCCCCATGTTTAATATTTTGAATCTAATCTATTTTTCAATTTGTTATTTGAATATTGTTATAAATACAAATTGAATTCCAAGTATGAATAAACAGAGAATATAATAAAGAATGATCTCTAATTAGAGATTCTGAATTATTATAATCTAAGCCCCTAAAGTAAACCATAGATTTAAAATGATTTTTATAGTACTGATATTTTCTCTATTTTGTTATGTGTAAATGTAATAAAAATTTGTATTGAAAATAATAACCCAGGTTCTTATGAAGAACACATGATGGTGAAGAAAGGACCCAACAATGATGTCATTTTTTTTTTAACATTATCAACACTTTGTGGCCGTTTTAAAGCCATGTTTGCAAGTAAGTAAGTGTATGCCCCATGGACTCCATTCTTTTCCCTAAAGAGCCTGTGGACTGGGTGAGAACCTCTCATGCCATGGGGAAGAAGCCTTCTTTCATTTCTCTGTCATGCAGGAATGAAAGATGTGAGCCTTGGACTTACAAATGAGGCTGCTCTGTGTGTGGTGGGGGGATGGGTGGTTCTCAGTGATTCTTTCATTTTTCATCAGGTCCTAGACCTCAGTCTTCACCTCCGGCCCCAGGCCCTTTGTTCCCCTCACCTCAGTCTCAGAAATGGTCACATTCTACAGTTCTTGATGATGAGCTTTCTCTGGAGCAATGGGGGTACCCGCCAAACCCTTTCTTCTCCAATGAAACCTGTGTGTCCAAGACAAGGAAACCTCACACACTGCTTTGTGAACTAGACAAGAAGGGAATAGGTGAGCAGACGCTGTAGCAAAGTGACTCTGCCCTGGTGTGAGATGGTGGGAAAGGGGGTAGTCTGAGCCTGGGCTTAGCTTTAACTCTGAGGGTAAGGGCCTGCACCCCAGGCATACACAGCAGTCATCTGTTCTCTCTTCTGTGTATTTACTTCTTGGAGTATGGTTGGATTTTAATGAATGTGAAAATCTGGTGATTATTAATTTGAAGAAATCTTCGGCTTAGACCAGCAAAAGAGATGTGAGATATGAGTATTACAAATCAAAGGTTTAATGCTTAGCCTGAAGTTTTCTGTGAGAACTATGAGAACTTTGACATGTACAAAGTATCCACAGACAAAGAGGGGAAGAAGCTAAGTCCAAGTGGAGCTCTGGAAGTTTCTGTTTCTAGCCTCTGGCTGGCTTCTGTAGACGATAAGATGTGAGACATCATTTCTTTCTCCCAATGTAGGCCTTAGCTATAGAGTTCATTTACCTTATATTTATTTTTAATTTCCCACTCCATGTAGCATGCAGTGTATACATATTCTCCTCAACTTAAGATGGGGTTGCATCCTGATAAACTCATCATAAATTGAAAATGTGGTAAGTAAAAAATGCATGCTGGGTTCAGTGGCTCACACCTGTAATCTGACTTTTGGAGGCTGAGGCTGGAGGATTTCTTGAGCCCAGGAATTTGAGACTGCAATGAGCTAACTTTGTGCCACTGCACTCCAGCCTGGGCACCAGAGAAAGGCTGTCTCTTAAAAAAATAAAAATGAAAAAAAAAATTAAAAAGAATGCATTTGATGTATCATAGTCTAACCTACCTTAAACATGCTCAGAACACTTACATTAGCCTATAGCTGGGCAAAATAATCTAGCACACAGCCTATTGTATAATAAAGTGTTGGACATGTTATGTCAGGGGTCCCCAAGTCCTCAGGCCATGGAGGTACTGGTCCATGGCCTTTTAGGAATGGGCCACAAAACAGGAGGTGAGTGGCAGGCGAGAGAGTGAAGTTTCATCTGTATTTACAGAGGCTTCCCATAGCTCACATTACTGCCTGAGTCAGCCTTCTGTCAGATCAGCGGCTGGCAGGACTGATTTTCATCGTGGCGCAAACCGTATTGTGAACTGCACATGCCAGGGAACTCTATTAGATTCTCATAGAAGCACAAACCTTATTGTGAACTGCTCATGTGAGGAATCCAGGTTGTGCAGTCCTTATGAGAATCTAATGCCTGATGATCTGTGACTGTCTCCCCTAAAATAAATCATAGATTTAAAATGGTGGAACCATCTGGTTGCAGGAAAACAAGACCAGGGCTCCCACTGATTCTACATTATGATGAATTATATAATTATATCATTACATATTATTTTACAATGTAACAATAATAGAAATAAAGTGCACAATAAATGTAATGTGCTTGGATCATACCCCAAACTACCCCCCGCCCCCCCCATCACGCCCCCTGGTTCATGGAAAAGTTGTCTTCTACAAAACCTGTCCCTGGTGTCAGAAAGGTTGGGGCCTGCTGTCTTATGTAATTTATTGAGTACTCTGCTGAAAATGAAAGACAGATTGGTTGTATGGGCATAATTGTGAAGTTGAAAAATCATAAGTCAAATCATCGTAAGGTGGGGGCCGTCTGCATTCTGGTAGAAATAAGTAAATGCTAATTATACTTGACTTTTCAGAGGGGGCTGGCATGAGAGAAAAAGCAAAAGAGAAAGAGAGACAGGAGTTAATATAATACCTGTTATTTGAACAAACTAATTTATCATAAGAAATAGTAATTAAGGTAAAATGGAACAAAGTTACTCAACTTCAAAAAAAACAGTTTTAATTACAGGTATTAGTTCCTAAAATTATCCTATCAGAAAAAAAAACAGATATGAAAAATGTGAAGTGTTTGGAGTTTTAGAGTTTTCATTAATTTTAAGCTAATATTTTAATTTGAGAATCCATTGACTACCTACCACAAAATATTAAAAGAATATCCTACTGATACTTCCTCTGATTCCATTTCCCTTCATCATCTAAATTCTTGTGAATTATATTTTAGAGTCAAGGTTTTGAACACTAATATTCTCCTCTTTATAAATTCTCATTCTACTTTTTTTTGTTTGTTTGGTTTTTGTTCCTATGCGTTAACTTCCTAGGCTGTAAATTTGGTTTGGAATGGTACAAATCTCATATGGAAGTTTGTAAGGGTAAAATCAATTATTCTCTATAAATCACTCACAACAGTACCTGGCACTGTTAGCCATTTTTACTTTTTTGAATTATATTTTAGAGTCAAGGTTTTGAACACTAATATTCTCCTCTTTATAAATTCTCATTCTACTTTTTTTTGTTTGTTTGGTTTTTGTTCCTATGTGCTAACTTCCTAGGCTGTAAATTTGGTTTGGAATGGTACAAATCTCATATGGAAGTTTGTAAGGGTAAAATCAATTATTCTCTATAAATCACTCACAACAGTAGCTGGCACTGTTAGCCATTTTTACTTTTTCTGGTATAAATTACCAAACTCATATGTAAGGCGTGGCCAAGTGCTACGGTGAAATCATCATCAGAGCCACTTCACTCTCAAATTTTATATTTTTGAACTTAAATGTCTCTCTTTCCAAGTTAGCACTCATCTTTCTCTTTCTTAATAAAGTCTGTTTGAACTCACTATGATCCTTTAGAAAACCAGCTATGGTTCCAGGCCATTGTGGGTGACCTACATTCCTTTGTTTAATTGAGCAGATATTGATGGACTCATACTCTGTTGAACATATATGCTATCTGCCCCATATTTTGTAATTTTCTTTATTATATCAAAAGCCACAGCCACCTCTTTTTGATTGAGATGAGTGTTTCTGATTTACATTTCCATTCATTTATTTATTCAACAATCTCTTATTAGGCATCTACTATGTACAAAAAATCACTTTTAAAACACTGTAGGAACTGTAATGAAGAATAAAATTTTGTCTTGTTCTTCGAGGATCTTATGAAAAGAGTGGACAAGGTAGTTTTGTAAACAACCCACTGGAATGCAAGGCAGAATGAAATATTGTAGCTTTCTCAGGAAGATAGAAACTCTAAGTGTTGTTGAAACTAAAAGGAGCAATCTGGGAGAAGATAGAACCAGGAATTAGAGAGACATTTGGGAACAGACCCAGATCCAGTAACGGGGATCATCAGCCAGGCATATTGTAACACATTCTATGGCTATACTCAGTGAAGACTCAAAATACACATGGAATGAGCTGAACACAAAAGGAAGGTCATTATATGGCACTTCATGCATGCAAAGTATCTTCTCACATCAATGAATGCAGCAATTACTTCTTTAAGAGAGTTCTCCACAGAACTGAGGTTGGCTTCAGATCTCCATGTACTGGAAATTCAGTATGGGCCTCAACAGGGAGCCAAGATGATGTCTTGATTGTAGGGTCCAAGTGGAAGATCAACCGTTAAACCTGAAACAGCAAATTCTACCTAAAATTTAATTCCAAGAGTTTTATAGAGTACTTTATATTCCCATGAAGCCTCCAGAATCTGGAGCAAGACTAGCTGGCAGCTCAGGAGGAGGCAGCCTCAGCTAGCAAAAGAAAGCGTGTTGGAGGGTTGGGGCCCAGGAGAGTCAATATAATGAATCTCTTTGCTTGTTTCCAGTTCCCTGTCTATTAGCTCCTATATTCACTGTCTGGCAGGTAGGTTGTACTTTTGGATTAAGTTCTTCTTTTGAACCTTATCTGAATTCTGTTTGCTCAGGTTTCCAAATTGCTCTGGGTGACATCTGCTTGTCACCAGTAAAACCAAAAGGACAGCAGGGTGGATTGCCTTGCACAGGGCAGGCAGGTAATTGCAGCTTTAATTTTGTTTCGTTTTTGGAAGGATCCAGGTGTCCAACCTCTTTATCGCACAAAAGAACCTTAATAAATGTGGGAGTGTTGGCAGACAAGATGGCCCAGTGGGCAGTCTGCCCATCAGATGTGTTGGCCTTCTGCTATTGAAATAGTACTTCCCATGGAAGCATCACACATTAGGAATTCTCTGCGGGTCCAAGCACCCCAACAGCTTCCAAGCTAGGAGCACAATTAGAGACATGGAGACTTCTAAGCAGCCAAGAGATACATTTCACCCTGGAAATTCAGACCTCAGCAGAGAATACTCAGGCCGTGTGAACATAAATCATTCCCCTGAAAAGTCTTTCTTCTTGGGAAACAAAATTCCCCAGAGTTGGAATCTGTTGGATCGTTGGTAGGTGTGTCTCTGACTTTGAAGAACTGACCACTTTAGAAATCATGCAAATGTCGAATAAAAGCTGGGTTATCTAGAATCTGGCCTTAACTGTCTTCCCTTTCAAAACTGAGCTGCTTTGCTGCACACATGCACAAATTGGAGTCAGATGTGGGAAAAGCAGGGCTCAATCAAAAGTGGAATAGGCCAAGGCTTGGATTTAGCCTGAGCAGCCATCATGGGAGGCTGTCTGGGGAGGTTCCACAAGATGAGGAAGGAAGTCAGTGAGAATCAGGGGCAACTGGCAGTAGGCAAAGGCTGAGGCCTCAGAAGGTGGGCAGAGACCAGAAAACGGAAAGGTGATAGGTCTACTGTCCACAAGGGCTGGAGTCTGTTGTAGAACTATAATTCCTAGAAACACTAGGGGATGGTGTTGGAGGCACCAACCAACCCTAGGGCTCAGAGATGGGGGCTAGAGAAAGTTCCATTTACTAAAATTGTGGAATAAGGGTAACCAGGTGTATGTCAGGTAGTGTTTTTTTTTTTTAACAAGAAAGAACTGCTAAAAAAAAAAAGACATCTTAAACTTAGAGTATGCAGCTAGCTAGATCCAACCATGAACTCTTACAGAACAGCCTTGATTATTGGATTCTGGCAAGTGGGTCTATTTCCAGGGCACTGGAAATAGATTGGCTCAGACCTACTGTCCTGAGATGTGGCAGGGTCATGGGTAAAAGCTTAGGGAGACTTCACTTTAGTGAAGAGCTTTATTCGATGAAGAATATTTGCCTCTTTTCCTCCCTTTCTGCCTTCTAAAATAAGCAGGCACAAGCTCCTTTGATAAGGTAGAAATGGTTTGGAAGGAACAGGTGGACTTAGCTCTGGATAAGTCAGGGGACTAGCTGAAACTAGATACGGGTGTCAAATAAAAGATTTCTGGAACTTGGGCTTAATCAGGGCCTGCCTGTGCAGCCTCAGTGAAAACAAAATAGTAGGAATCCAAAGATGAAGTAGACTAGAGGATCAGCAAGGGCTCCAAAGAAAGAGTATTTGGTGAATCTATGGTCAGGCTTTAGTGGTTCAGAGAAGAATGGCACAGTATTTCAATACTCAGAGGAGACAGACAAATCTGGAGAGATGGGGACAAAGCAAATCTAGATGTCTATGTTTCTATGGAAGCAGGTCTCTGAAGGCTTCCCTGATTCTAGCAATATCCACCTATTGAGTATCTAGCACACATGAGTGCAGATGTTGGGTATCTTGTCACATTAGTGCATCAGTTTACCAGACATGGATCCACTCAGTCAGCGAGGCTATGGTCTAAGCTTTTACCCATGACCCTGCCACATCTCAGGACAGTAGGTCTGAGCCGATCTATTTCTAGTGCCCTGGAAATAGACCCACTTGCCAGAATCCAAGAATCAAGGCTGTTTAGTAAGAGTCCATGGTTGGATAGTGAGGATGGGGGACAGATATAATTATGTGTACAATTCAGTTTGGAAGTTAAAACTAGAGTACAACTGGGGTTTTATTGTATTCTTCTGGCAAGCTACCAGTATTCTCAGGCATTCCACTCCATTTCCTTCAATTTGATTTGATTCCATACCATTCCACTCCCCTCCACCCCACTTCACTCCATCCCATTCCATGTGATTCCATTCCAATGTAGTTTTTATTCATGGCTAGAACTGTGCAAATGGAATAGTTCAATGACAAATAGACATGCTATTGGCTCACAAGGAGTTCCATAAAGTATGTTTCATGAGGGAATAATCTTGTGAAATGCTCTTCAAGGAAGAGAGCTCCATCTTATTCTCTTATGGAGAATCACATCATTATTTAAAAAATGTATCCAAACTTTGTCATAAATACATTAGTTTACTTTTTAACTTGAATTACCCTAAGATATTTGGCTGAAGTCAAGTTTTTGTTTTGTTTTGTTGTTTTTTTTTTTATATACCTATTGATAGCCTGTCAAATTATTTTAGGGGATCCAGTCAGATTGGCACATGTGGTGGCTGGTTGTGTATTTGAAGGCTGGCCCTCAAATTTAAATGTCCAGACAGACTGAAAAGAGGAAATGCTTTTGGTACAAGCTGGATGCCACTGGAGTTTTACGGATATTGAAGTGCTGGGGTGGGGCTTGATCATGGAAACAGGCTTTGGTTCCAGGACTAGCTCAAGAAATGTCATTAATGTCTGGGTGGGAAAGCACAGGAGGGAGCAGATGCTTTTTTTCCCTGTTGCTTGGCTTTAAATTTTAAGGTTTACCAACTGGATAGTGTAATTGTTCTCAGGGTTTTTTTTTTTTTTTTTTAATCACAGAACATATGTTAAAAGACATTCACATGAGAACTCATGTCTATGGCTGTACCCAAAGGCTTATGCTAATCCCACTCAGGATGCTGGCTCCTATACTCTGGGCAGAATCTTTAGTCACTGAATGTTTGAAGACACTGGAGCACAGATCTGGCCTTAATCTTGCTGTGTCTAGATTGCGAACATGAAGTCCAGTAGCTCTACAAAGCATTGCTGAAGTTCCTCGTAGGAATTTGGTTATTTTGATGCCTAGTATATTGTCAAATTCAGCACTGAGAGGCCTTTTCTGCATCACAGGCTCCTTGCACCCCAAACAGTGATTTCTTTCTTTTTCATTTTTTTTCCTATTTGTCAAAACAATATGACTGGGTCTAATATTCCAGATAAATGTGCAGCAGTGAGGTGACAGGGAAATTGAGGCAGGTATGGACATACAATTGTCTTGATAAAAGGGCAGCAGTTGGAGCTAATGGTAGAGGGAGGCATGAAACAGAAATGAGAACAGAGCATGAAGCCTGTTTTTTCAGCCAGAAGCAGGGTCTAGAAGAAATCCTGTTCTCAGCCAAAAGACCTGGTGTCAGGTCATGAAGAACCAGCTGTGAGGACTGAGTTTTAAATTGGTTTCAAGTTTTCTGAAAGAGAGCTGAAGCTGAGATCCTGACCACAGCACCACTGAAATTAAAACAGTGGCCGGTACTTGGAGAAAAGTAACAGATAAGCAGTAAGACTGGTGATACTTACCGCAGAACTAGAGCCTTTTTTTTTTTTTTTTTTTTTTTTTTGAGATGAAATCTTGCTCTTTTCCCCCAGGCTGGAGTGCAATGGTGTTATCTTGGCTCACTGCAACCTTCACCTCCTGGGTTCAAGCGATTCTCCTGCCTCAGCCTCCTCAGTAGCTGGAATTACAGGTACCTGCCACCAAACCTAGCTAATTTTTGTATTTTTAGTAGAGATGGGGTTTCACCATGTTGGCCAGGCTGGTCTCAAACTCCTGACCTCAGGTGATCCACCCACCTCGGCCTCCCAAAGTGCTGGGATTACAGGCATGAGCCACCACGCCTGGCCAGAACTAGAGCCTCTTGTATGCAAAAAGCCAATGGCCAGAATTGGGACTGGGCAATCCTGGTTGAAAGCTCAACTTTGAGATAGATTCTATGGCTACAGCTGAGAAACTTGCAGTAGAAGGAGGATGATGTCATCAGTTTATACTAAGCTAAGTGCTCAGTGGTTACCTTTGCAGTTGTTTAGCGTTAGTAATCAATATAATGACACAATTAGAATTACATGAGTGTGTTTGAAGACGTCATCTATGAATATTCTTGATTCTATTGATAACATAATTTAAAAAATATTCCAGGACTCCCAAGGAAAATTTAAAAAGCATGAGCAAATATCAAACAGTATCGGTTTCACAGTGTGATGTGATACTGTTCACGATATTTGTCATGTTGCTAGATATACTACAGCATTATGTCCATTATCCC
Organism: Homo sapiens; assembly: GCF_000001405.40. NCBI lineage: Eukaryota > Metazoa > Chordata > Mammalia > Primates > Hominidae > Homo > Homo sapiens. The sequence continues at coordinate 6,484,802 of NC_000020.11, forward strand.
ATTTCTATTTCATTGAGTTTTTCAAAATTTCAATTATTTTCTAATTCCAAAAAAAATTAAAAAAGTTTTTCCTCCATCTTTTTTTCTCTTTCTCATAAACAAAATGCACTCACATTTTCATTCTTATTCTACTTTGCATTTTTCCCTCCCTCCCTCCCTTTATTCCTTTCTTATCTTTTTGTCCCCCTTAAATATTGATTCTTCTGGAAAGGGCCTCTAACAATGTTTTATTTAAGCCATTTGGCATTTCTGCATCACAGGATTCTTGTATCCAAAGCAGTGATGTCTTTCTTTTTCTTTTTATTTTTCTGTTTTCTTTTTTTAAATAAAATTGTGTACAATTTTTTTCCCTTTTCTATGAGGTAGGTAGCATGGGTGGTGTTTCCCTACAGATAAAGAAACGGAGGAGTAGAGGCAAGCAAAGATGTATCTAAAGCCATAGGAGTGGTTTCTGTAAGATTCAAGATTGCAATGCAGTTGAAAGGTTCTCTTCTCATAGTTCTCTGCAGTACTTGGAAGTCAGGATGTGTGAAAGATTTCCTATGGAGCATTTTCAAAGTATCAAAAACCACAGAGATTCTCTGATGTCCGGTAAAATTTGGGTAACTGGGACTTTTTCTTGCACACTCAACGTCGAGAACCTCCTCCCCAAAGCATATCTTATTGTCCTCATTTATTGCAGTCGGGTAACACATTGTCAAATTCACCTTCTTAAGCACACAGCACCAGCTTTGCCACACAGATAAGAATGATCCTGGGAGATAGAGTTTCAAATCAGACTTGTGGGAAGCAGATGTTAACTGTCACCTGCCAAGGGAACGGGAGGACCCTGACACTCTTTGATATATTTGGAGGTGACAAAAAATGACACTTTAAGTCTGTAGCTCTTCTAGGAAATATATCTGAATACTAACGCGAGATAGAGGCCATCAGATTGAGATTATGAGTGCCCACTGTCACTCCTTATAAAGTAGTTTAATGAGCCTTGTTACATAGTATAGTAAACATATTGAAACTACCTGAACTCTAACTGTATTATTTTATTTCACAATTTGGAGATAAAGAAGGTATGTTAGAGCCTGGTTAATGCCTGCAGTAACTTGAGTAGTTTGTGCACATCACATATAATTTTTTGTTGAGTACTTTGTTCATTTTGTGAGAGAGATGGTATCGAGTTTCTATCCATCACACATAGGCATTTACCTTGGGCTAGAGCTACAGTTCTTATATTTGATTCTCAGTACAGCAGGAAAGCAAACATTCTTGCATAGATTACCATCCCCTATTTTTTAAGGCAAAGAGCAAACTAGAAAATGAATCTCCCACCAAAAGTGAGGTGACGATGAGGGATTCTAGAAACCATCTTCTCAGGAAAGAGGAAGGGGTCTTCAGGATTTGGCTGTGTACCAGCCTCAAGAGAAACGGTTAACATGAGACATACAGTGCTTGGGTCAGGGATGATCCTCAGAAGTTAAGTGGCTATCTCGGTTTGGGTTTCTTAAAAGTAGCCCTTGAGACAAGAATTTGAGTTCAAATATTTATTTGGGAGGTGATGCCAGGAAGGATGAGAGTAGGGAAGTAAGACCGGAAAGCCAATAAAGCGAGCGTTTATCAGTGAGTTACAATGCTGGGCAATGGGGTTCACTCCTGCTAGGGACCTCTGAATTGTTCAACCCAGGGACAAAGAAGCTGGAATATTTGACTCCCACTTACCCCTTATTGCACCCTCAGGCAGAAAGGTGCACATGTTGTTGCATGTTTGAGAACTGAGGAAGCTCCAGGTGCCCTCTGGGGTGGGCTAAAGATATCTATTATGACCGAGATGTCCTCAGGGCTTAGACTCTAATCTTGGATCTGCCTTTATATGCTGGGCAGACTGTTTAGCTCAGTGCAGAGTTGAGGGAGGTGAGAAACCCAATTTGTTCAGTTATTTGTGTACTGTGGATGATACCCATTATTAATAAATGATTTTGGTGTTGGATGGTTTTGTATATATTAGTTTGTTTTTTTAAAGAAAACCCTTGAGCTTATTCAATACTTTAAAATTGGTTTGTACGTTTGGAAGAGTATAGTGTGTGTTGTGTGTGTGTCTATTTGTGTACTTGACAGTATGCACAAACCTTAGTTACTGCAGGAGAATCAGTTGGACATTCAGTGCATATATGATATGAAACATCATGCTTATGGTGCATGTGTGAATGTCCTTAAGAGGAAATGGCAAATGTCTTGATTAGAAAATGGCCTTTCTTCTCAATGTGATATGTGTAGTATGAAATATTTTCTTGAAATAGATCTGAGGTCAGGATAGCTGCTGAGTGGAAACCATGTGCTTATCTTGGACCCTTTAAAAAAACCCTCTTTCCTATTGAGTGCTCTGTGTGTTAAAATTAGGAATAGGAAAGTTGACCACACGAAAGGCCTCCCTGTGTTGTGGAAATCTGAGGCCTTTGGTAAGAGTCACAAAGAGTGAGAGCCAGTGTGGACAACTGTGTTAGAGTCAACCTCTATATTCATATGACCTGAGGTACGGCAGATTCCCAGCAGAGCCTAAGCTTGTGAAGGGCAAGTGAGCATAATGCTGAAAGTAACAGCCCTATTATTTAGGGTGAGTAACTTAAAAAGCCTGTGTGTCAAAACTGGGCAGAGTTTTTAAAAAAATCGTTGAAATATCTGAATAAATCAGCTATCTAATCCACTTTTTCAAATGACCCGTAGGAAAAAAAATGAACTGATTATGTTTCACTATTTATCATCATCTTTCTAGTTTGGCTGGGTGGCAGCCTGATGATATTTAAACTGTGTTGGCATAAAGGCAACTCATAGTTTTCTTGCCACTTGGGTACATTTTCAGTGGGCTTGGGGGAGGTTGAACTTTAGTAAATACACAGTTTCAACAGCTGTATTGTCTGAGGGTATTAAAATATGTAGGCCAGGTGTGGCGGCTCATGCCTGTAATCCCAGCAATCTGGGAGGCTGAGGCAGGTGGATCACTTGAGATCAGGAGTTCCAGCAGCCTGGCCAACATGGTGAAACCTCATCTCTACTAAAAAACAATACAAAAATTAGCCAGGCATGGCAGTGCACACCTGTAATCCCAGCTACTTGGGAGGCTGAGGCAGAAGAATCACTTGAACCCAGGAGGTGGAGGGTGCAGTGAGCATAGATGGTGCCACTGCACTCCAGCCTGGGTGACAGAGGGAGACTCCATCTCAAAAAAAAAAAAAAAAAGTGTAGAGTATCATTGTCATTTTAAGCTTTTCTGTTTCTCTATGTCTCTACATTTTTCTCCATATGTATAATGTAACCATGTGTACATAAAATGGACATTTTAAATATGTATACATACTATATCAGTCATAATCTAGTCATGAAAGCAGATACTATGCCAGTTATTTTAGCAAAGAAAATTTAATATATGAAATTTGTTAAGCAGATATTGGAGGATTAAAATTTGTTACAGAAAAAAATAGGTATTGTAAGCAGCTACTACTTCTTAGACTATGGGAACCAAGAGAAGGACCTGACTTTATGAGAACCTTAGAGGAGTGACCCTGCAGGGCTGGATCTGAGGAGGTGCAATGGGATTCATTCTTGGAGCATGGGCTAAAAATAAATACATAAAACCACACTTTTGGAGTTCGGGATCAAAAGCCATTGCCAGGTAAAGTAGCAAGCCTAGTGGGATGCTTACAGGAATAGCAAGCCAACAGAAAGAGGCAAGATTTTCTTCCTCTTCTCATCTTGCAGGTTCCCTCTGGCACCCCTTACTGGCCCAGCCCAACAGAGAGCTGGCTGCAACACAGAAATATGGTCTGCAGGGTCCCAGCCTCAGCATCCAAATCAGAGTTTAGAAGCTGGGCTTGCAGAGGAAACACAGTGGCTTAATGACCACTGTGCATACAAAATTGGATTGAGCTGTATGAAATTGCTGATGCCCAACTTAAGTATTTTTGTTAATCTACCAAAAATACCTCATACGGTTTAAACAAATATAGACAAATACGTATTAGATTGTATGTAATCAAAATATATTTTATATGTTCACAAACTTTCACACCTCATAAACGTGTATATACATACACATATAATCAAGCATATTTAAGGTGGAGGGAGCCCATTCCACACCTAATTATGTCAAAGGAAGCTGGTGTCATTCCCTGAAGGAGATGGAACATATTTTTGTATCTAATTCAACCTATCAATAAAGTGCATTCATCTTGAGACCCTATGATAATCACACTGATATGTTTTTGTACGGTTCCTTTTACATCTGCTGAATGTTTTTCCATAATGGATAAATCATTGATTCGTCATCCTATTGCCTTGACCATGCATGATCTGTTGAGTCTTCAAGGAGTCACAGTGCGCAGGTCCCAGAAGCCAGAACTTGACTTATACTGTCCTTCAATAGATCTAGATTAGAAGAGGAAACACAGACCATCCATGAAGTTCTTTAAAGATTTGAAGCCCCTTGAAATTGCTGCTGCTACGGGGCTGCCATGATGCTTCAATACAAAGTCCCTATCTCTTAGAAAGCCAGCTGTCTGTGTTTGGTTACCTGTGTGCATTTTCGGGGTGGGCACTCTTAGTCTAAAAGAAAAATATGTTTGCACTTTCTTTATGGGAGTGATTCAGAGACCATTGCGTAAGTCATCGTTGAAGGCACATGGTGTGTTCATTGCGAGCCATGGGAAGACTCCTTGGGTACTTGTCAATGACTATTGTGCTCCTCCCTAGGGCCAAGGTGCAAATTCCTATTTTGTTTACTCTTTAAATAGAGTACAAGAGAAGGGAGAGTGAGGCCCCGCAAAACAGGACAAAGAGCGGGGCCGTGACTCTAAAAGATCTCAGAAGTATTTGCGTAGCTGCAACATGCATCTCATTTCAGGGAATCCCACAGACAGCTTTCCCAAAGTGGGCATTTCCTCTTGAGCAACCCACAAGCCTTTCCTGGCCCCTGGGGCCTGCAGTCCCCTCTCTCCCTGAAAAACCAATGCCACAATTTCAAAGTGATTCAACTGGCGTCCCCACAATGCCTTCTAATTCTGACTCTTTCACAATAGCAGGGAGTAGAAGAAACTGACAAATGAGCTATTTTTGAACCAGAAGTTGGCCCAACTGTCAGGCGTAATAGCAGTCGGGTAGCATTTGTGGGATAGCCCGCTCATGAAAGATGACTTTATAATTGCCTTCCAGATCCCAGGGATAAGAGCGTATGTTGAAATCAGCATAACCCTCTTAGGCTTTCAAAACGCAACCTCAAGAGGCCAAGAGATGTGTTGGCAGCACGAGCACTTGGCTGTTTGTATGGCGATCATCTCCCCCATTTACCCAAATATGTTCTGGGCATTTTGTTTACCCCTCACATTGTCTGTCTGTGCGCTTTAACAGATCAAATGGCACCTATTAGTATGTTGTGGCCTCTTTCCAGAGGGACTCATTACCGCCTTTACTGCTCATAAAATCCTTTTGTGTTTAATCCTCTCAGCACTTTCCTTCTTTTCGTGCCATCTGTCAGTGGGCTTTTGTGCCCTGTGGGTCAGTATATCAACACTTCACTTTTCCTTTCCTGAAGACAGGTCCTGTTTCTGAAGTCTTTTCACTGGGGAAGGCTGTTGGAACAACTTTCACAGGACAAGTAGGCAAACTGAAGGAAAAAATAATAAATAAATCCACTGCATTAGGGTTAGTACAGTTGAATTTATAGCCTGATGCAGGGTTCTTCCCTGGACCAGAGTTTCACATTTTTATCTTGGAAACATCTGCTTTCTGTGCTTTGCAGTACAAAGCAAAGGTAAATTGTGGAAACCCATTCTCTGCTGGGAAGATGGAATACTCTAAGTGAGATGACGGTGGCTTCTTACATTTGCTTCTTCTATTAAATATGTAGGTATTTGTAGGATGTTTTTAACTTTGGGGCAAGGGCCACTGCCCCTGCCCCAAAATAGGGGCAAAATAGGTTTGCAGATTTTCTTGATAATTCTCAAACCCTTTCATTCTCCCAGTGCAATTAAGTTACTCGTGTGTTTTCAATCGGAGAGTTTCTATAGGGAAGTCTGGGGTAAAGTTGGCATTGAATCCAGTCAGCAGGCAGGATGCGGGGGATTTCTGTGACCTTGATCTGATGACCAGGTGAGCATGTTTCTATTTGTGCACTGCAGCATTGCTTAGTTTAGTGTTAGAAAGAATGGGGCAGGGTTTATATGTCTTGCATTTTTCAAACTTCTGTCTGAATGTTTGAACTGTCAACGACATTAGGACCAACACATATTAGTAGTTCAGCACTGTTGGAATGTGGTCAGCAGTTATGGAGTCTCAAAGTCCAATCTGTGGGCCTACTGCATCACAAGTACCTGGAACGTTTCACAGAAGTGCAATTTGCAAGACTCACTTCAGAGCTGCTGATTCAAAATATTGGGTCTATGTGTTTAATAAGCACTTCTGGTTATTCTAACTCACATCAAAGTTTGAAAATTACTTTTATAGAGAGCGAAACAGTAACTCTAAATGGGATCAGCAAAGATAAAATATTTCCCCCTTCCTTGGTTAGAAAAATGTACTGTGTATTGTTTAACTATGCCAGGAAAGACATTCTTGCTTATCTATGAAAAGAGTTCATGTGGAAGAATATAATGAAAAGAGTTAGGCTAGGCATGGTGGCTCATGCTTGTAATCCCAGTGCTTTGGGAGGCTGAGGCTGGAGGATCGCTTGAGACCAGAAATTTGAGACCAGCATGGGCAACCTAATGAGACCCCATCACTACAAACAAATGAAAAAATATATATTAGCAAGCACTGTGGCACATGCCTGTGATCCTAGCTACTTGGGAAGATGAGGTGGGAGGATGACTTGAGCTCAGGAGTTTGGGACTGCAGTGAGGTCTGATAGCACCACTACACTCCAGCCTGGGTTAAAAGAGTAAGACACTGTCTTAAGAAAAAAAAAGAAAGAAAAGAAAAGAGAGGGGAGGGGAGGGACCTATGGAGGCTTTTCTCCCTAAATCTCATTAGTCTGAATAAAAAAGTTGGCCATATTCTCATTTCATGTGTTGTTTACTTTTATCTCCATGCAGTTTGGCTCATTTGGTATTTTAAACACAATAACAACTCTTAAAAGTAACAATAACCATCTCCTCTATATTGTCTAGAGGGCTGGATCAATGGGAGTATCAAAATAAACTGAACATTAACCAGCAAACCCTTTTTGTTTTAACCCTAGCTGTTAAGCATTTCTCCAAAGCATTAATCTAGAGAGTTTCATTGAGGATTTTGTGATGTCTCAAGGTCACCTTTTGAAGACAATAAAAATCCTCATGTAACTCTAGGACTCAAGTTGTAGCTGAAGAAAATGTCTGTGTAACTTCTGGAGAAGACTATGTTCTCCCAATTTAGATGAAAGTACAGCATGAAATACAATTTGATAAAGACTTAATGATTAAAGAGTCCAATAAATTGAGGTTTCACTGTCTATGGTTCTAAACCGAAAGCTAAACATTCAGTGTCTGGACAAAGGAGACAGTGGCTTTTATCACAGGCATATTATTCTGCCACCGAGGCTGTCCTTGCATCTGTTGGCACAACACCACAGAAAGTAAAACAGGCTCCCGGAATGGAGTTATTTCCATCCCCTCCCACATAGTATTCCCTCTGGAGCAAGCAATTTGTCTATACTCAACTTTTCCCTGTTGATTCTCTGAATCAGACAGACTTTCCCCAAACCCCTAGAGCTATTAGCCTTGTTAATCTTTGCCCTTCACAAATGAATCTTTTGTGCTGCCTGTGACTGGACTTGGATTGCTGTCTTTCCTTTCCTTTCATTCTTTTTAATTTTTTTTTCTCAAATGAACAATAAGAGCAAACAGCTCAGGATGAAGGAGGGTGGTGAGGAACGATGAACTCTGGTTGGTCAATCTTGATGACACAGTTTATGGGTTTGGAGGATTCCGTTGTCAAGGGACACAGGGCAGGGTTACCTCGTAAGGAAATAATGTGGTCATGTGATGAAGAGCTAAGGCTGAGAGAAACTGCAAGGTTTCTGCTGCTGAACAATGACAAAGTTCACTGGTGTTCTCAGGTGCAAGGGAGAGAATAGGCCCTCATTGTAAGGCAGCATCAGCCCTGCCTTTGTTTCTGTTTCCCTTACTGCGGCATTAACGCTATCTTGTCAGTTTGTAGGCAAGTTGACATGGTATATAACACTGATGGATATTGAGACAGTGCATCAGAATGGCTTGTCTTTGTTGATATGTGTCTTTGTACACTCCTAGACTAGGTCTATAAGTAACTGAAAGCTTTACCATACACAAAGTCTCATGAGGAAGCTTAACCCTTCGTCAACTAGTTCTATCTATTTGTCTTAATATCATGGTATGGTGAAACCTAATAAGGCTTGACAAATTAAACTTGGCAAGCTATGAACACTGGCCTTTTAAATATTTGTTTTTTTCCCTAATTCTAGGTGAAATTTTCTTTTCTGTTTTTTTAAAGGTGTTATTAATATACCTAGTGCACCTATTTATAGTCTATAGCTTGATGAATTTTTATAATACATGCACCCATGTAACCATCATCCAGATTAAGATATGGACCATTTCTAGCAGCTGAAAGACTCCCTGCTGCCCCTTCTCTGTCAATACCTACCCCCAAGAAACACTATTTTAATTTCTATTCCCACTGATAAATTTTGCCTGTTCTTGAAATTCACATAAATGGAATAATACAGAATTTATTCCTTTGGGTCTGGCTTCTTTCACTCAAAGTTATGTCTATGAGATCCATCCATGTTGTTCCATTCTTTTTCATGGTTGTGTAATATTTTGTCGTGTGACTATACTACAGTTTATCCATTCTACTGTTGACGAGCATCAGATTGTTTCCAGTTTGCATCCCCAGTGAAAATTTTTATACAAGTCTTTTGTGTATATATACTATCATTTCTGGTGAATATGCCCAAGACTTTCAGAAGCATATATGCTGTATGGTGGGCAGATATGTTTAGCTTTAGTAGATACTGCTTAACAGTTTGATAGTATTTTTAAAAAGTTGTTAATGTAAATTTAATCCAGATATAAGAAGTAATAGATTTAAAACGTTTAGATTACATACATTATTTGACTAGAAGTAAACACCTCATTGGGTTATTTATTTTCCAGCAATCTCAGAAATAATGGTTAGCAAAATTAGATGATGATTGAATGCCCTTCTTCATAAATAGTTGTCCACTTGATTGAAAGAATGATAACCAGAAAGGAGATAAAAGTTGTTTATGAATCAAAATCAGCAGCACATTTTTCAGCTTAGCTATCTTAATGAATTTTAAGCTGTGGGTAAAGTTATGAGATATTACTACTTCCTGAAACTGCAAGTGGAAACCCTTCTAAGGTTCAAACAACTCTACATCTTTCAAGGTAAATAAAATGAAAGCAGGGCAGATTTATTTGGGGTGAGTGAGACTTTGGAAACATAAACTTTTTTTTTTCCAGCTTGGAAACAATTATGTTTCTGCGAAACTCACAGACCCTGCTTCCAAATAGGAACACAAAACTTGATACTGGATTACCAATATCAAAGAAAGGGGAAAGGTGCTGCTTTTCCATTTTGGGATACAATTTCATGTTCATTGTCCTATGGAATAAATCTTAACTTCTCTTATAAATGAAACATTCAGTTTCACCAGGGTGAGCTTCTACAAATCCATGAAGTCAATACAATATTGACTATCGGCTCAATGTGAAAGCCTCGACTGTTTATCTCTTTTTATGTTAGAGACTATGGGAAATACAGAAGGAGTAAGGATGGATTCTGCCTTGAGGAGTTCTAAGTTTAGCCTGGAGGAAGAAAGAAACTCATGAAATTGTTATGGAGTTGGGCTCAACTGTTCCGTGCTGATGACAGGGAAAGGGGAGATCAACATGGGCTGGAGGAGTCAAGTAGGCTTGTGGAAGAGGTCAGGGTTAAGGTTAAATTAAGTTTAGCCTAAAGTTACCTCCTTACATATTTTAAGTTTGGGTTAAAGTTTCCTGTGTATATAGTGAATGGTAACCTAAGCGGATGTGTTACCTACTCTTGTACCTATTGTAACCTACTCTTGTACCAATCACTAAGTGTCAGCAAATCACATGCAGCCAACTGCTCAAACTGTATCCAAATAAGGCAAACACAGAGCTGTAACCAATTCAGCCATTTCTGTACCTTCTATTTTCTGTACATCACTTTCCTTTTTCTGTCCACAAATCCTCTCCGACCGTGCAACAGCATCAGAGCAAATCTGAGCCTATTCTGATTAGGGGGTGTCTAATTCGTAAATTGTTCTTTGCTTAATCAAACTCTGTTAAATTTAATTATGCATTTAACTTAAAACTTCTGAAGTTTTTCTTTTAACGAAATATTTGGGGTAATCTACATGAAGAGAGAGAATAAGAAATCTATTTGGAAGAGGCTTGTGGAGAAAGAGAGGGTAGAATAATCTTTGAAAAAAGTGTAGGAGAGGACATTTGGGAACATTTCAAAGAAAGGATAATTTTCCCACAAATCAACCAGCTGTGAATGTGTCTTTTTCACAGGCAAGTTTCAGGTGGTTTGTTTTAAAGTGGGGCTGCTTTAGAACAGTAAGAATAGTGCAGTGTTTCACAAGTTCTATTATTGTACACAGGCTTGGAAACACAGACTCCCAGGCCACACCCCAAGATGATGTAGTATCAGTCAACTGTTGCTGCATAAGAAGCCAGCCCAAAACTCGATGACATACACCAAACCTTTATTCACACATTCAAGGTTATGAAGGTTTGGCTCAGATGTGTTTCATGAGTGTTCATTCTGGACCCCAGAACAAAGAGGCAGCAGCTACCAGGGTCATAGTCTACTCATGAAAGAAGTTGGAAGCTTCCACAGGGTATTCCTCTGAAGGTATATACTATAAGCTCTACTTACATTCCATTGGTAAAACAAATTGTATGGCCAACCTTGACACCCATGGCACAGGGAAATAAACGCTGCCTTTAGTAAGAAGAATGGCTAAGTCACATGGGAAAAGGTATGGATACAGAGAAGGGTGAAAAACTGGAAACAATAATTCAAAGGACCACATTTGTTAAACCTTTAACACATTATCACACAAGCTGAGAAAACCCCTAAGGAGTTGGCCCTATTATTACTTTAATTTACAGATAATGAAATCATGGCTTAGAAAGGCCAGGAAAGTTATCCAAGGTAATTCTGTTAATAAGTGACCATGATAAAGCTCTAAATGTATTTAAACCTTAATATAACCCCAGAAGCACAAAATATTTACTCAAGTCTCTGTAAGAGGCTTTGAATAGTATTACAAGGCATGTTACCTGAGCCACACCCTTAGGATCCCCTTGTCCACCTGCACCTGAAATCTTCATTCCTCCGGGTGGCTGTTCCCAACCTCTCTTGTCTGTGTTTCCAGATATACACACAAAACAAATTCCATCAGCACTTCCTTTTCTATCTCAGAAAGAATCTTGGCCAAACCTGGCCTCCTACCCATTTCCTTCTCCATTAGGGACATCAATTAATATCATAAATTCATTGGCATTTCTTAAAATAATTGAAAATAGCAAAAGTGTAACTAGCATTGCCTCATTACAAATTGCTTGGTCAGTCATTAAGAAGGTGCATGTTTTGTGACTCCTACAACCTTTTGCTTCTTACCAAAAATACCTGCTTTTCATTTTCCAACTTTTACAGGATTCTGAAAGCAAGTTGGACTCACTGAAGTGCTGATAGGTTGACCTTCACTCCCCTCACTTCTGACCTTCACTTCGTGCTGTTTCTTCCCCTCTGCCTTTTTCTCCTATCTCACCCCCAACTTCTACTTCTAGTGTGAATCAAGTCTGCAACGTGACTACCTGTATTCTAAATTTTCTTGAATATTTAAACATCCTTTGTGCAGCCATCAGGGCCCAAACCAAGAGATTTCATCACCACTCCTCACCTACATATTCTCAATCCCCAGATCACTAACTCACTGAACCAAGATGAGTTGGGATATCTCCAAAGGCATTGTTATGTTTGTTTGTTTGGTATCTTATGGAGATGCTTAACATTGTACATTGATGTAGATTGGATGGGCCTCAGAGTTCAAGAGAATAGTGATGATTGTGGACTAGTTTAGAAACTGCCTGATGATATTTCCTGACACAGGGCTCATTGAGGAGGGCATCTCAGCAGATAATGCTCAGCAGTGCCTTGGCCTGTGGATTAATGGGTCAACCTAGAAAGTAGCACTTCAGAGTGTTTGAAGGACCACTTGGCCTTTCTTTGCCCTCTGTGAGGTGCTCCTGGATGTGGGCAGAGGCACCTGATTTTTCTCAAGGGCCTGTTCTCTTCCACCCTCTGACTTCCACTCCCATCAATATTACCCATTTCAGTTTTGGTTAACTTTAATATTTTTCTATTTGTGGATCATGAAATAATAGAACATTTGATTCACCAACCATTATTAGTATAGTAACAATGGAAAGTGTAAAACTAATGAAATGTTTTAGAACTTAATCAGAGGCAAGAATGAATGGGGGACATGACATGTAGAGTTCACCTAGATTCTAGTTTTTGTTTACAAATAACCTTTCTGTAACATTCAAAAACTTATTTATTAATTTTAATTTAAAAAGCCTTTTAATTAAAATAAAGTCTCATTTAGTAAAAGTTCACTTACATTATATGTATAGTAATTAGACACTTCTCTAACTTCATAAATGTAATGGACCTTTGTCTAACACATAGTTTCTCAGTTGATATTTCCTTCTTTTTATATTCTAATAAAGCAGCAAAGTATCTGTAGCCACAGCTGCAGTTATGTCTGTGTCTTTATTTTAAAATGGATATACTTCCCCATATATTCCTGTAATAGAAACTCTTCTTCCTTAAACAGTTAATTTTTATAGATGAATTGATTAGCTTATCTTGGGGGAATTCTTTAGCCGTCAGTTGGAAGATGAGCTAGGCTTGGCTTTTGGAATACTTAAATGTTGTTCCAACTTATTTCAGACAGCGAGAAGACCTAAACAATTTTCCCAAAGCCTAAATTCACAGGAATCACAACTTTGCATTTGTTTCAAAAGAAGACATGTAACTTTTCCCTACACTAAGCTTAGAGAAATGTGGCTTCTTCCTTATGTTTACTTTGTCACTCAAAATAACAACAACAAAAAGAGAACTTTGGAGATCTTTGAAATTTGTGTAACATGGAAATCTTCAAGTTGCTCAAGTTCTACAAATTTTGAGAGTCATTCGCAGTGGAAGTAAGTAGGCAATCGTTAGCACATCTGTAAAATGGTATCCACAGTTTTCTTTGAATCATTGTTGATTTGCTGTGCCCCAGATCTGCATGGTAATAAGATATTCACATACTTTTAAGTAGTTTAAAATGTTATACCTATTATTCATTGAAAAATCGAGTATCAATCTAAGTGAACTTTCCCCAGCTCTGTCATTTCCAGGAATAGTTACTACTCTGAGAACAGAAGATTCTCTGCCATTGTTTTATGAAAATTCCTTTCACCTAAAAATTCGTGGTCTTCTCATAGTCTAGGCTTCTTCAATCAGTTCTGGTCTCCTGCCTCAGCAGTGACCAGGTAGAGAAGCCGGCCAAGGGTGGGAAAGGGCAAAAAGGAAGATGCTGGAGCCAATCAGCTCCTGTTTCAGTGGCTGGCATTGCCTGTAAATTTTTTTTTTTAATCAAGCTTTCTATGTTTTCATGACGATGGCAGGAATCAGGCCATTAGAGTTGATGGAGGGGACTTGGGACAATCACACACTCTGCACTTCTCTCCACTTCTTTCTGGATTAGGAAAAGTTTCAGCTCCATTTTAAGAAGAAGTGTGTCTGTTCTGTAGTGAGATCCAAAGGCAGCTCTGAAAATCCCAGATTCAAAATATCATCCCCTTCCCCATCTTTCAGAAGACTTTACTGGCTCTTTAATCCTTCAGGAATTTTATGCTCTTCTTTAATCAATTCAAGGAAAGATTTCTGAACTTTTTTAGTTGCCAATGAGATGCAAGTAAAAGCCAGAATGGACAAAATGTAAAAAAGAGTGACAACATCAAGTGCTGCCAATGCTGTGAAGCAACTGGAACGTTTATATGTTGCTAGTACCAATGCCTTGTTTTCCTAGTTACTTTTTCATTTACATGTGTGTATGTACCTACTTTTTAATTTGATGATTCGGAATAAAATAACTCCATTTTTTTGTCTTATTCCTTTGCTACATCTCTTCCCACCCAATTATATTTTTGACTCAGTAAGTAAAAAACAAAATATACACACTGCAAAATGATGAAAGTAGATTCAGTTTGTGTTTGGCATAAGAGAGGGAAAAATGACTTCCCTCAAACCTCCTAGGTTCTTTGGCTGAGCTATGAATTACATTGACATGAAACAGCTTAAAATGAGAAAAACCATTTTAATTACATATGTACCCACATATGCGTGCAAGTTCCACAAAAATACGATATTCACAAAAGGATATAATTGTGATCTGAGAAACCAAAATAGATGCTCCTTTATCAATTAAGACGAGCCCTAAGATTAAGAAAACAAAAGTTACCTACAGGTGGAGGGTTCCAGGCTCAGCTAGCAAGGCAGGTTTCTAAGTTCCTACAACATATAAGAAAAACCACACCCTTGCTAAACTCCCTAACCATAGAAGCTATCAGGCTGATTTACAACCCAGACCACTACAACTCTGTTTGGGTACAGGACCATCCTTACAAACATTCTTTTATAATGGGCTGTTTCAGACCTCAAGCCAGTTTTATCTACTTATAGAGGGTGTGCACAGACTGTCTTTCTATCCTGTAATTCACCTTTTGACATAAAACCAAATTCTACCTTATTTTAATGCTAAAACCCTGCCCTAAAGTGAACATGGACTGTATGGTTATGTATATGTTTACCCATTGCACTTGTACTCAGCAACCCTCATAAATATGTATAGCTTTTCCCCCAAACATGCTGAATATGCATGATACTAGCCCTCTGAGGCATAAAATCCAACCTGTTTTTCCCCTCTTCAAAGAGAGACAGAGTACCTTCTATCCATGCTGGAAACTTTCTCTTTCCACTTGCAAATTGATATAATCAATAAAGCTCTCCTTTCTATTACTCCATCCTGGTGGTCTTTTGGATGACAGATTGAAGCTCAGAGAGCAGCATCTTTAGCTACAGAAAGCAACAAGGGCCTGGAGCTTCTGAGGAGTGGTGGAGACAAATTATGGAAGGGGAGGAGGAGGAGGAGGAAATGTATGGTAAATGAAGATTGTCTTGTTATGTAGACAAAAGCGTCTCAGATGGTAAAAGTCATCTCAGAGCAGCTGTCTTCCTGATACAGATACTCTTACTAATAAAAGTTTCCTTACAGATGTAAATTTCCTTTACAAAGGAACAGCTTTTCAGTGCTACTTCTGTGTCTGCAGTTTCTTAAAGTAACCAGCTTGAAATAATCAATATACTAAACAGCTATATTATATGGTGGCACATTCTAGTCTCCTGCAGTCATGTTTTGGGGTGGCATGTCCTGAACCCCAACACTAATATATTTGGGATTGGTGAGGACTCTACCTTTGAGCAAAAGCAACAGAAAGTTTTGTTCAAGATTTTTTATTGTTCCTCTTTGTCAGAGCAACTTTGCCAGCTCTATTTTCTGCAAGGTGTTTCTAAGTGCACGTTTTTAGGAACTCAGGAGTGATACCTTAGCTTTTTCTTCTCATTGGTCTGGAGATATGGTCTTCAAGTCTACTGAGGGGTATAAAGGGTTATGCAAGGATATGGAAGATTTCTGGGGTCTTTACAGCTGGGTAATATGGCCATATGTGGGCATTGTCTACATAGGTTTGTCATCACACGAACAGGCTGCCTGAGTATGCTGAAACAGAGAAAAATCTCTGTGTTCATCACCAGTGTTATTAAAAAATGTTTCCTCTTTTCCTTCTGGATCTGGATGTTGGGTATAGTCATATATTATCTGCTTTAGCCAAGGACATGAGAAGTTATTCCAAGTTACCTATAGGAGAAAGCTTTCAGAGTCGGTGTGAGATTCACCATTCTCTGTCTTTCCATTTGCCACAGTGGCCAGCAATATTCCAAATAGAGGCTCTTTTGTCAGCCTGGTTCCCAGCATGAAGACAGTGCTGAACTCAGCCCCCAGCTGACCCATGATGGACATGTAGCATGAGCAATAAATTAAACCTTTGATGTTTTAGCCCACTGAGTTTTCTTTGTTTTTGTTACTGCAGCATAACTTAGCTCATCCTGAACTTTACAGATGGGTCCAATAATTGGTGTCTGAAAGACCAATTTTATTAACATGCCTCAAACAATAGAGCTTCATACACCAGAGAGCACAATCATTCCCAGGAGACAAATGGGGCTGGAAAGACACCTGATGATTCAGAATCCTGGGGCACAGAGGAACAACATCCTTCCTCGTCCTGCCATTCTTTGCCAAACTCCCAAGCACAAGTGAATCATGGTTCAGTGACTCATTGTGTGAATAGGGTCACAGAGAATCCCTAAACCATTGCTTTTCATATCAGGAGTCCAACAGTCTTTCAGGTTGCCCCTGGCTGAGGGCTTTGAGGATTTAGTGGAGTTTTCTGGTAAATCATAGCTATTCTAATTTAGGTTTCAGCCCAACTAGATGCTTCCTACTGTCCCTGGTAAGGAATGGAACTGGCTCACAGTAAATGTAGCTGTTTAGTAATAGATGTAGATATTCTTATTATCCTCTCTAGGTCTTCTATTCTGATTTCTTATTTTTAAGATTAAGAATTTAATGTCTAGAAAAGTTAAGTGACCATGTCATAGCTATACAGAAAATAAGTGGCAGAGTCTGGCTTGGAAGCCAAGCCCCAAGTCCCTGTTAAAAGCCTTTTGAGGCCGGGTGCGGTGGCTCACGCCTGTAATCCCAGCACTTTGGGAGGCTGAGGGGGCAGATCACAAGGTCAGGAGATCAAGACCATCCTGGCTAACGCAGTGAAACCCCGTCTCTACTAAAAATACAAAAAAATTAGCTGGGCGTGGTGGCAGGCGCCTGTAGTCCCAGCTACTCGGGAGGCGAGGCAGGAGAATGGCATGAACCCGGGAGGCGGAGCTTGCAGTGAGTGAGATCGCGCCACTGCACTCCAGCCTGGGTGACACAGTGAGACTCCTTCTCAAAGAAAAAAAGAAAAAAAAAAAGACTTTTGACACACACACACATAACTGTGTGTTTGTCAGGAACCAGAACAGAAACAGAAGGTGGGTTATCCCTACTTGTGGTTCTCACAACACCTTTTGCAAGTGATCCCTAATCAAGCCATGAGGGCTATTTGCACCAGTGTATGGTTGGGATACCTACCTAAGAAATAAGTTAGAAAGTTTGAGAACTGGGGTAAGAAGATAGAGGAGAGAAGGAACGTCATTCACCCACAAGTGATTTTACAATTCAGACTTCACTAGCTACAGCAGAAAAGAATTGGCTTTAGTTTCTAGTGCAGATCCACATTCATAGTGAAATCTAAGGTCTGTGGACCTTATCTCAGCCACTGCTAGTTGTCACTGGAGAAACCATGCCAGAATGAAGGACAAGATGAGGTCAGGAACCTCCCAAATGATTAGAAGCATAAGGTCAGCTCTCAGGTCTCAAGAGAACTGCTGTAAATGATGAGTGACTTATAGCCACTGACTTGGATAAAAAGAAAATTGGCTGGCTTCCCCCTCTGCTAATCAGTGAGCCTATGTGTCAGGAGCTGCCTGGAAAAAGGGTGGTGAATGGGGAAGAGAGTTGCAGAGACCGTCTCTAAGGAGAGGGGCAACAGATAATCCACGCTTCTGAGGGTCTCTTACTTTACACATCTCCCAAAGTCTTTGCCTCTCACCAGAAATCTAGCTTTTGTTCTTCCCTATATTTGCCCAGAGGATGAAATGACAAAGGTTAGAAGTCACCAAAAGTAGAACGGATGAAAGCGAATGGTGCACACGAACATTTATCACATCTAAGCAGTTCTTACCTGAAAAGTTGTTAAGATTTCATGATTCAGGAAGATTTTGTTTGTGTAGGTGGCTACTTTTTAATTCACCTTCATTCAAAATGAAATAATCCCAATGATGGTTTTGTCTTATTTATGTTATCTACTTCCAATTATTTGTATGGTTTAGTAACTAAAAAACAAAATGTACACTCTCTGCTAAATGATGAAAGTGGGCCCAGTCAGTGTTTGGCGTATACCCTGTATATCTTTATTACTGGATTACCTTTACTCCCTGAACTTGAATCCCTCCCACAGGAATTTCTATTCCTGGGAGATGCTTTACAACATTTGAACACTGAGGAAGTGCTGAAAACATGAGATGAAAACAGGAAACTTCCCCAGCAGTGAAAGGCTGTCTGGATTCCTGCTTAGCTCTTCTGTCACTCTTATCTCTGGAGGCTTTGTAATAACATCTGTCACTCCAACCACAAACCTCCTTGAAGCCCAACTTTTCCCAAGGAAGGTGATTCTCTGGGGTGTGCCAACCTGGCCTAGTGACTGATTTCACCACCTTGAGCCTTCCAGACAAAGTTCACAATCTCAGGCTTGCTCGAGATGGGCTCAACTGAGACCAAAAGAACAAAGTTGCACTGTATAATAAAATTTTAAAAAATATAGTTTCTTTCTACACACAGCCCAAGAGGGAGAAGGCAGGATTCATGAAATGAGAAGAAGATAAGATAATTAGAGGAGACTAGGGACCCAAATCACAGATGATGGCCAATTCCAGGATGTGAGAGTGGCTTGCATATTTTTGACAACACTGCTGGCTAATGCAATATTAAAATGTTTTCTGTTCTATGTTCTGTGTTTTCTCCTGTCCCACCATTATCCTTACTCTTTGACACAGTTCTATTGCCTTAGACGAGTGGCACTTTGAGGAAACTGATTAAATTGATTGACATATGGGTTAGCACAGAATGGAGAAGCATGAACATCAGCCAAGGGCTGTGAGATAAGAGAGTTCAAGAATTAATCAGAAGCAGAACACTGCAACAGAAGGTGACTTGGAGAAGGGAAACTTGGACCACCTCCTCCTCCTCCCCACTCCATGGGGAGAATGGAGTGAATCCCCAAATATACGGAGGGTAGGGGCAAAGGAATTTGAGTTTAGGACATCCTTTTAAATGTTGTGAGTTTGGACATCCTTTTTAAACGCTGTGGAGCAGGGTAAAACCTGCTGTCTCCGCGACGTTGGGGGTTATCCGAAGGAGACCTTTGCTGTGTATTTGTACTGAACCATCATTTTCTTTATTTTTAAAGAAAAGTAGAATGCACACATGTAATACAATAGAAAGTAAACCTTATTGGCCATGCCTGTAAACAGAGACCATCTGAAAGAAACTATGTTTTTGATTACCCTGTATATTTCCAGCTCACCTTGATATTCTACAGACCTTTGATTTCAGTTTGGATCCCTTGGGCTTCTGGCTTCTAAATTTTTATTTGCATTTTCTTTGTTAGATAAGTGAGAACCAAACCCAGTGAGGTATATGAACAAGCCATTTCACCTTTAGGGTTTTGGGATGAGGAGTAAAAATGCTGAGTGGGTTAATCTTGCCTGAAGGACCCAAGCTTATGCTTCAAATTTATTGAGATTCCACAAATCACTCACAGAAACTTAAACAACTGGGAACGGATCCCAGAGATGCAGAGTTGGAGGAGTGGCAGGGAGCAGAGCACGGTCATTTAAGGATGTTGGGTATGTGGCCAGGTAGACCTTTATTAAAATCCTTGTTCTTATTTATCATGCTATCATATTGATAACAACTCTGAGTCCCAGTTTCCTCCTCTGTAAAGGATGTAATAATGCTACCTGCGTATGTAATAAAATGCATTTGGCACAGTTCCTGGCATATGGAAAGTACTCAACAATAGTAGCTGCTATTTTATGATTGATAATGTAATAATAATTATTATTATTTAATTCATGCCCCTCCTTTCATGGTGAGAAAATTTAGGCCCATGGAAGCTTGATGGGGCCACATAACTCATAGTTAGAGCTGGAATTAGATATCCCAACTCCGCATCCTGCTTTCATTCAATGAGTTTGTAAAATTTCTCACAGCTCTTGCCAAGCTGTGGTTCAGTTTTGTCTTGCACGATGTCTGTATGACTTACCAGGGAGAAAAGATGATGCAGAGATATGACCAAATGGGTCTGTGGAGCAGTGGATGACTGGGGACACGCCATGTTGGTGAGCTCACTGTGCAGGCTTCCTGCCTTTCCTAGTCTGCCCTTCCCTTCGAAACCAGATACTCTCACCTGGAAACTATGCATCCTTTTTGACCGTGATGCCCCACCAGTGTTCCAACCCGATCTATGGCTCGAGCAGCTGTTTACCTTCCTCAGACCTTGACCTCACATTTTCTAATGAAGGAGAACAGTATGATGTAGTGGAAAGAACAGTGAGGTGAGAGTTGAGAAATACCAGTTTCTAGTTCTGGTATACTCTTCAACCAGTGGGCACTAGAGATAACTTAACCTCTCTGAACGGCAGTTTATTTCTCTAAAAAATGAGGGGATTCAATTAAGAAATCTCTCTTGAGCATGAATTTCTGTATCTATTAAAAAAGGAGCAATGAATACTTGCTAAGTATACATGGATCTAACTACACTGTTGTTTCATGTTTCATTGTTTTGTGAAAATGGAGAAAAGAAGCAGTGTAGTGGATTTTTTTTACACAAATAGAAATTTGTTATAAATTTAAAAATTCTTTTAAATAGGTGGTCGTTGGCAAACCTTTACAAAATAAAAGGCATCAGTGTGTCTTTCTTTGGTGGATTTTTGTGAAGCAAGTAGGTAATTTCCCGCATAAAATTAAGATGCTAGCTCTTTTATTTAGACCCGGGTTTCTCAACCTCAGCACTACTGACATTTTGGGCCAAATCATTCTTTTGATGTGGACGCTGTCCTATGCATTGTAGGCTATTTAGCAGCATTCCTGGGCCTGCTACAAGCACATCCCCTTCCTGCTATGACAACCAGACTACTGTGACAACCAAATACATCTCCAGACATTGCCAAATTCCCAGGGAGTAGGGTGAAATAAATACACCCCCTGGTTGAGAACCTGCTTTAGGCACATGTATGTGTTAATTTTAATGGAATGCTTCTGTGCTCCTAATCAATGTATTTTTATTGTATTAGTCAGGATACAATAAGCAGGCAGTAACAAACAAATTCCACGTGGCAATGCCTTAATGGAACAAGTTTATTTCTTGTTCCAAGGCAACTGCCCTCCATGTGGTGATTGAACAGCCTAGGCTGCTTCCATTTGGATTCCATCATAAGGCCTCCAGGGCTGTGGAGACCTTTTAAGAAAGCACACAGAGGCTGGATGTGGTGGCGGGTGCCTGTAGTCCCAGCTACTAGGGAGGCTGAGGCGGGAGAATCACTTTAACCTGGGGGGTGGAGGTTGCAGTGAGCCAAGATTGCATCACTGCACTCCAGCCTGGTGACCGAGTGAGACTCCATCTCACAAAAAGAAAAAAAAAAAAAGCACACAGAGAACTCAATCTACTCTTGCATGATTTAGCCCAGAAGTGACACACTGCCCTTATATCCACAGAGCATGATGAGATTTGGTCTTATGGCTCTTTTAAACTACAAGGGGATGGAGGGAACACAGCCCATAGGCACAAGACAATTTGGAGAGCAGTACTATATCTACCACACCATTTACAACTTGAAGAGTTGGATGCATATGGTGGAGGCCCAGAGGGAAGTTTCCATTTCTCTGTCATCTTTTATCTTGAGAGAGGCTACTAATCACTAGAACAGTGAATATACACAAATTCTTCCTTGTGCTTTGTGTTTTACTCTTTATTGAATAGATGCTAATTCAAATCATCATGATGATATTTTAGTTGCTCAACAGTTATTTTGTAAAGTCTTACTCCACTCTTATTTCAACAAATTAAAGTCTCCAGGAAAGCCTAGAATATAAGCAATTAAAAATTAACCTGGAGTAGTTATAGTGGGATGAGTACTTTATTTTCTTAAGCTTTCAAACACACAGTGCCTAGTGGGACTATGGAGAAGTTTGCAGACCTGTGATCTACTTTCTAAAGAACTTTCTCTGAGCAAATATAACCCAACTGATCTGGTTGTAACAACTGTTACATTGCTTGGAGAAAAGCAATGGGGAGGATGTACAGGAGCATCCATCTCCACAGGCTAGGAGAAGTCTAATTTCTCCCTGAGCCCCATTAGTAAAGTTGTTGGAATCCCAACTGCTCCGGAAAGTCCCTTGTGGCTGATGAGACTGAGGAGCACGGGACCCTGGTGCTTTTGTTAACATTCTTGCCTCATGTCCCAAACCTCACATCATCCATTGCCACTTGAATTATAGTTCCTACTCCTCAGTACATCTCTATCAGCATGAGCTGCCCAAATTCGCATTGTCTCCTTCCCAGGCCTTGGAACACCAATGGACTCCCTCAGAAACTCAGATTCTCCTTCCATACCTGGAGGGATTAAGGCAGGTGTCCTGAGGCCATATGGAAGCAATTCTTCCCTGAATCTCCAGCACAGATTTGCTTTCCCTTTCCTCACTTGGCTGCATTAATCCTCAACTCTTCCTGTAAATGAGTTTTCTGGGTTGGTTCTGTCTTTATGATCCTTCTCTTTGGGGGAAGCACTAGTAACAGTATCATTTGATATCATTAATTAAAAAGTGCCAAGCTACTTGCTTGTTGTTGAAAGTAGGTAATTTCTTTTCACCGATATAAAGTTAAAGCATCTTAGAATTTGGGGAAGAAAGAAATGAGCACCTGTGCTAAGGCAGCATGTAGAATGGTTTAAGAGGACAAATTTGGGTGCCAGATTGCTTTGGTTCATGACATCAATCTTATAAGCTGCTTGAACTTGAACACATTATTCAAGTTGACGGCCTCCATTTCCTCATCTGTAAAATGGGAATAATAATAGTACCTACTTCACCTCATTGGGCCATGATAATAAGTCTTAAAAGACTTAAATTTGTAAACCATTTAAAAGAGTGCCTGGCATGTAGTATATGCTGCATACATGTTGTTAAATTAAAATAGGTAGATAGATACGTTGATATTCCCCATTATAGTACAACTCTGCTATACAAAAAGAATTTGCTATATCCTGGAGAATCCTCAAGAGAAGGCCCAATTATGATTCTAGAAAGATAATAGAGGCCAACCAGAAAACCCTAGTTAGCTGGTAAAGCAGATGTCAGGTTGTTTGCCAACTTTAACATTGAAAAGTGAATTTTCTATTTGGCATTCTATTGTAAGGAAGAACTTTCCCTTCTCCAGAATGAAGAATTTTGACAATCGCAATATTGTAAAAATTATCATTGAATACCAAAAATTAGGTGAAAGTCTGATGAGAAAGAGGACATTTACCTTGTCTTAAATTATCTTCCTAGATTTTATATATTGATTACAAAATGAAGCATAGTAACTTATCAGTGGAAAAACTTGGTAGACACTGCAGTAACTAAGTAATCAAAGCTGACATCACTAACAATGGAACAAACTGACCTTTATCTTTTGATGGGATGTAATGAGAACATTACAAATGTAATGATCGCTTGTGTAATATTCCTGCCAAACTTTCATAAACTGACCTAATCCTAGGAAACATCAGATCAACCCAAACTCAGAGACAAGTTATAAAGTAACAGTCCTCTATTCATCCAAGATGTCAATATCATGTAGACAAGAAACTATTGAGGGACTCTTTCCATTTAGTCTCTTAAAGGAGACTAAAATAATATGATAACTATATGCCATAGGTAATCCTGGACTTGGGGGGAGGGTTAGCTATAAAGGACAGTATTGGATCAGTTCATAAAATTGAATATGGATTCTAGATTAGATAATATGAATTATATTAATCATAAATGTACTAATTTTGATAATTACACTTTAGTTATATAAGACTATGTCCCTGTTCTTAGGAAATACACAATGAAGTACTTACTGTCAAATGATTCAGAAAATAATTTACGATATATGGATGTTTATTTCTTGTTCCAAGGCAATTGCCCTTCATGTGGTGATTGAACAGCCTAAGCTGTGTGTGTGTGTTGAAATAATTATAAAGTGAATGCATGAAAATATTGCAAATGGGGTATCTGGATGAAGAGTATTTAGAATTTCTTGGTACTGTTCTTGGCATTTTTTTGGTGAATTTTAAATTGTTTGATATAAAAAATTAAAAATTTACAGAAGGATATATTGTCCCTCTTGCTTCCAGGAAAAAGCACATTTGTTACTCAGCTCTTAAGGTCAGCACGAACCTAGATAATTAATATGGAAATTCAGTAGGTGCCTCAGAGCTTAGGTCCTGTGAGGAATTAGTAAAGAACAACAATGGTGCCCTGCTTTGGGTTTAGAATCTATAAAGAAAAGCCTTTTAAATAACCTCCTGGAGGCCTGAGGTATTTGCTGAAAATTTTCCAGATGCAGTTTTGTCTTGTTGAATTAAAAGATCTTGAGGCAGGCATGGGGCTTCTCTGGTGGTAGCTATTGGATATATGTCACACCAGAGAAAATCATCCCAGATGATGGGATTGCTGGTTTTAATTATAGATATAGTATACATAAGAATTTGTACTAAGTGCCTTCATTCAAAGGTATGCCAAATGTGGGCTATTTGTATGCCTAGCACATTCACCTTCTTCGCAGCTATGCATGAAAAATTCAGTCTCTTATGAGGGCACCAGGGCATCCTCAGTTACCATGTGCTGACTCAGCAAATGTCCTTAGCAGGTACTCTGGTAAAAGCCCTGAGAAAAGAGGAGACAACAAATATTGGTTTTTAATCATTTCTTCTGGGACATGGAAGAGGAAGGAGGGGCTCTATAGCTGAAAAGGCATTTGTTTCCTGAGCCAAGGGTTGGTGAGTGTATCTAATTTTGAAAATATAAGCAATTTCTGTGCATAACAGAGGAGAAACCAGTTTTGGGGGTGATGGGAAGAGGGATTTCCTGGGCAAAGAATTGCCAGCAAATAAGACTGTGGAAAACTGTGCGCACCCGGGTTGCATGTTGCAACCTGGTTGCAAGTAAGGACATAATTATTTTCTTTTCATATAGCACTGGCTGGTTCAGAGATCTCAAGTGGCTGCCCAATATTTCTCTAGGTAAACTCTATCCATGTAATACAAATTTCTGGCCAGTATCGGAAAAACAAACAAAAATGTTTTTCTTTTGTTAAATATGTGAGTGAAGAACACCATACTAAAATTAATTACCTCCATACCTTTTGTAAAAATTCACTGAGAAAGTGATTTCATTGAAAAGTTTCTAGCAAGTGTGATGCCTCCGACATTGTTTTTCTTTCTCGAGATCTCAGAATTGTTTCAGCTATTTAGTTTTTTGTGTGTGGTTTGGGTTTTAGAATTTTTATAGCTTTTTTAATTAAAATTTTTTTCTATTGTTGTGAAAAATGCCGTTGAAATTTGATAGGGATTATAAATCTATGTATCACTTTGGGTAATATGAACACTTCAACAATAGCAATTCTTTCAGTCTATGAACATGGGATATCTTTCCATTTATTTGTGTCTTCTTCAATTTCTTTCATCAATGTTTTATAGTTTTCAGTATAAAGATTCCTTCACTTGCTTGGTTACATTTTTTTTTGTAAATATTTTATCCTTTTTGATGCTATCATATATGGGATTGGTTTCTTGATTTCTTTTTCAGAAAGATCATTCATTGATGTGAAGAAATGTGAATGATTTTTGTATTTGTTTTTGTATCCTGCTAATTTACTGAATTCATTATTCGTTCAAACAGGTGTGTGTGTGTGTAGTATTTAGGGTTTTCTACATACAGGATCATGTCATCTAAAAACAGGAATAATTTTACTTCATTTTTTAAAAATTCAGATGCTATTTGTCTCCTTTCCTTGTCTATTTGCTCTTGCTAGTACCTCCGGTGCTTTGTTGAATAGAAGTGACCAGAGTGGACATCCTTGCCTTTTATTAGATCTTAGAGGAAAAGCCTTCACTTTGCCCAACTTATTACAAGGTTAGCTGTGGGATTTTAATAAATGGCCTTTACTATGTTGAGAAAATTTTCTTCTATGCCTATTTTGTTGAGAATTTTTTATCATGAAATAATAAACTTCGTCAAATGCTTTTTCTGTATCCATTGAAATGATCATGTAGTTCTTAATCTTTCATTCTGTTAATGTGGTATATAGCATTGATTGGTATATGTTAACCCAACCTTGCATCTTAGGGATGGATAAATGCCACTTGATCATTGGTGTACTCTTTTTGATGTATTGTTGAATTCAATTTGCTACTATTTTATTGAGGATTTTTGCATCAATGTTCATCAGAGACATTGGCCTATGATTTTCTTTTCCTGTGATATCTGTGGCTTTGGTATCAGAATGAGGTTGGCCTCAGAAAATGAGTTTGGAAGTATTACCTCTACTTCTGTTTTTTGGAATTGTTTAGGAGTATTGATGTTAATTATCTGAATTTCGTAAATTCAGCCATGAAACAATCTAGTCCTAGGTTTTTCTTTGTTGGGTGATAGTTGATTATTACTTCAGTCTCTTTATTTTTTATTGATTTGTCAGTCTTTCTATTTCATCTGGATTCAGTCTTGGTTGATTGTTTTTTGGAATTTATTCATTTTCTCTTGTTTATCCAATTTGTTGGTGTATAATTGTTCATTATAATCCCTTATAATCTTTTTTATTTCTGAGGCATTCATTGTAATAGTTTTTCTGTTTGTATTTGATTTATTTCTGCTCTAATCTGTATAATTATTTCCTTCCTTCTGTTAACAGTGAGCTTAGTTTGTTCTTCATTTTCTAGTTCCTTGATGTGTAAAGTTATGTCGTCTATTTGAAATCTTTCTTCTTTTTAAATGTGTTTATCTCTAGAAAATTCCTTGTTATGACTGCTTTTGTGGCATCCTGTAGGTTTTGATGAGTTGTGTTTTCATTTGCATTGTCTAAAAATATTTTAAAATTCATTCCTTTTTTTTTTTTTGAGACGGAGTCTCGCTCTGTCGCCCAAGCTGAAGTGCAGTAGTGCAATCTTGGCTCACTGCAACCTCTGCCTGCTGAGTTCAAGCAGTTCTCCTGCCTTAGCCTCCTGAGTAGCTGGGACTACAGGTGCGTGACACCATGCCTGGCTAATTTTTTGTATTTTTAGTAGAGACTGAGGTTTCAGCATGTTGGCCAGGTTGGTCTCGAACTCCTGACCTCGTGATCCACCAGCCTCGACCTCCCAAAGTGCTGGGATTATAGGCATTAGCCACCGTGCCTGGCCTTTTTTTTTTTTTAGACAGTCTCATGCTGTTGCCCAGGCTGGAGTGCAGTGGCGTGATCTCAGCTCACTGCAACCTCCCCCTCCCAGGCTCAAGCAATTCTCCACCTCACCCTCCCTAGTACCTGAGATTACAGGCATTCACCACCATGCCTGGCTAATTTTTTTTTTTTTTTTTTTTTTTTTTTTGTATTTTTGGTAGAGATGGGCCAGGCTAGTCTCAAACTCCTGACCTCAAGTGATCTGCCTGCTTCAGCCTCCCAAAGTGCTGGGATTACATGCATGAGCCACTGCACTCAGCCTAAAATTTCTTTTGACTCAGTGGTTGTTCAAGCTTGTGTTTGTATAGACATATTTGTAAACTTTTCCATTTTTATGCTGGTATTGATTTCTAGTTTCATTCCACTGTGGTCAGAAAAGATATTTCGTATTATTTCAAACTTTTTCATTTCTTTTTTTAATTTTTATTTTATGTAGAAATGGGGTCTCACCATGTTGCCCAGCCTGGTCTTGAACTCCTAGCCTCAAGAGATTCTCCCACCTCAGCCTTCCAAAGTGCTGGGATTACAGGCATGAGCCACTGCACCCAGCCTTCCTGTTTTCTAATCATATTGCAAAACTATATTAATTAAAACAGTATGGTACTGGCATAAGAATAGATATGTAAGGCCAGGTGTGGTGGCTCACGCTTGTAATCCCAGCACTTTGGGAGGCCGAGGTGGGTGGATCACTTGAGGCCAGGAGTTCAAGACCAGCCTGGCCAACTTGCTGAAACCCCATCTCTACTCAAAATACAAAAAGTTAGCTGGGCATAGTGGCAGCTGCCTGTAATCTCAGCTACTTGGGAGGCTGAGGCAGGAGAATCGCTTGAACCCAGGAGGTAGAGGTTGCAGTGAGCCGAGATTGTGCCATTGTACTCCAGCCTGGGCAGCAAGAGCAAAACTCCATCTAAAAAAAAAGGATACATAGACCAATGAAACAGAATGAAGAGCCCAGAAATAAACCTGAACATTTATGATCAATTGATTTTTGACAAAGCTGCCAAGAATATATAATGGGGAAAGGAGAGTCTCTTCAATAAATGGTGCTGGGGAAACTGGATATACACATGTAAAGGAATGAAACTGGATCTTTATCTTATAACACACACAAAAGACAAAAGTCAATTCAAAATGGATTAATGACCTAAACGTAAGATCTGGAAATGTAAAATTTTATAAGAAAACATAGGAGAAAAACTCCTTGATATTGGCCTTGGTGATAATTTTTCAGATATGACACCAAAAGCTCAGGCAACAAAAGCAAAAATAAACATGTGGGACTACATCAAACTAAAAATCTTCTGCATAGCAAAAGAAATAATTAATAAAATAAAAAGACACCCTACAGATTGGGAGAAAATATTTTCAAACCATCTATCTGATAAGGAATTATATCCAAAATACGTAAAGAACTCACACAACTCAGTAGAAAAAAGAAACAAACCTGATTTAATAAATAGGCAAAGAATCTGAATAGACGTTTCTCAAAAGGAGAACACAAGTGACCAGCAAGTACATGAAAAAATATTCGACATCATTAATCTTCTAGGAAATGCAAATCAAAACCACTATGAGACGTTACCTCACAGCTGTTAGAATGGCCATTATCAAAAATGCAAAAGATAACAAGTGCTGGCAAGGCTGTGGGTTAAAGGGAACACTTGTACACTGTTGGTGGGAATGTAAATTGGTACAGTCATTATGGAAAAGAGTGTGGAAGTTCCTCAATAAATTAAAGTTACAACTACCGTATGGCCCAGCGATCCTTCTGCTGGGTATGTACCCAGAGGAAATGACATCAGCATCTCACACAGATACCTGCACTCCCATGTTCGTTGCAGCATTATTCACGTAGCCAAGACACGGAATCAACCTAAGTGTCTATCAATGATGTGGTATGTATACACATGCATATAGATATTCATTCCAAAATAAGTAGATGCTACCATTTGCAGCAACATGGATGAATCTGGAGGGGATTATGCTAAGTGGAATAAGCCAGACTTATAAAGAAAAATAGTGCATTATTTCAATTATATCTGGAATCTCAGAAAAAGTCAAACATATAGAAACAGAGTAAAATGGTGGTTACCGGGGTAGGGAGAGAAAGGAAATGAGAAGTAGATCAAATCATATAAACTTACAGTTATGTGAGATGAAAAAGTCTAAGCGATCTAATGTACAGCTTGGGGACTATAGTTATAATAATAATATTTTATTGTATGCTGAAGTGTGCTAGAAAAGTAGATTTTAGGTGTCCTTATCAAACACAAAAAGACAACTATGGAAAGTGATGAATAAGTTAATTTGCTTAACTGTGATAAGCATTTAACTAAGTGTATGTATATCAAGACAACATATTGTATACCTTGAATATATATAATTTAGAAGTTTCCAGTAAATACTCCCAAGCTTCCAGTGCATTGCTGGATTTTGCCGGATTTAGGGACCACCACTTGGTCTTACTTCATCCATTTTGAGTATATAAATTCTGAGAAAAAGCACACAGTTATTTTTATAGACAATTATTCCCACTGCCTCTGATTGGTCCATTCCCCACTTTTTGATTGTCTTGTCCTGTTCAACACTAACAATCAACATTAACATTCCCCCCACCGCACCTGGTTCTCTGGGCTGCTGATGGGCATTCATTGAGAAATGCTTTGGACAAGGCTGTATGTTACTGCTGTAAAAGAGGTAAGCAGTGCATGAACTTAGAGACTTTTTCTGGGCCCAATCTGAATAAGTGTCCCCACACAGGTAAAACAACTACATGATGCTTATCTCAATATGTATTCAACCAAAAATCTCAGAGGGCTGTCTGTCCCATCCCCACTTTAGCTAGCATAACATGAAGATTTCTCAAAACAAAAGATGTGAGCTGAATAATTTTAACCCCATATGTCTGTTAAAGGAGGGTGATTATTTTGGTCTTCCCATGTAAGATAATACTAATTATTTAATACAAAGCTGTACTATACTTCATCAACTTTTCAGTATAGCTCAGCACCAAGGCTTTCTTTTCAGCATAGGTTAGCGTTAAGTACCTACTAATGAATTACATTTGCAAAATGTATGAAAGAAGAGCTCCACTACTAGTACTGTGGACTTGGCAGGACTCCTCCAAATGGTTAATCATGCACTACTTTATAGACTCAGCCTTCCATTATGCCTGATTAAATGGTGTTCAGTTTATCCCTCACCTGCTGAGGGAACATAGTCTTGATTAGCTTAGATATTCAGCCAGGCAGTAATTTTTAGACCCAGTATGGGTCTAAGAAAAGCTACATTGTCTGTACAGGAAATGACCCCAGCTTAGAAGCATTTTATCACAAAGTGTGTATGGATGTTTGAAAAATCCCTCATTAATGTAATCCTCCATCTCCTTCCTCTTTCTTTTCCCTTAAACACCTCTTCTCTACCTCGAATTGGAAAGGAACTTTTAGCTGGTGAATGCCTTCCACAATCTGAAGTAATTTACCATTGCTAGATGATGTCAGTGGGCTGATAAGCTGGCTGTTATTAGTACTATGCTGATAGTAGGCTCTATCTATGCTTTTTTTGGGATTGTTGATAACTTTGGATATGAACAGAGAGTGAGTGAAGTCCTTTATGTTGTTTTTTTTTTTTTAATCCCGAAAGTACTCTTTTTTTTTTTCTGGTGTTATCTAATCCACAATTCTAATCAAAGCTTCTATTCATTTGTTTATTCATCTGAGGTATTTTAGAACTCCTAATATGTATCAGGTACTATAATAAGAGTTCACTGGTGGAAAAAACTTACAGAAACACAAGTAAATTAGAGTGATGCATGCTATTATCAAGGATAGGAGGATCATAGAAGTCCTACTTGGCTCTCCATGTAATCTTTGTCTTTCTGGTGTGATAGTTTTGGTAGTTATACTTATTAATACATAATTTCTACCACTTAAATAATTCTCCATGTATCTTCTATAAACTCCTTTCAGATGGCTAAGTATAACTCCCCTTGAGGATGACTCTCTAGCCTACATTAAGTTCTCACTCTTCCGAATTATAACCCTATTTGGCCATAATGTACTCTTACAGCAACTTGCCTTATCATCTTTGTTGAAGTTTAAATTTTGTCACATTTGTAAAAAAATATCTAATAGTTTTGCATCTGTCTCCCCAGTTAAACTACAAGTTCCTTCAGGGCTAAGACTTGTCTTGTGCTTCTCGAATTGTACATGGGAGGGGCACTGTTCTAGATTTCAAGGAGTCTGAATTCTAGCTTCAATTCTACAACAAACTGGCTTTGTGACTACAAGCCAGACATTTAGTCCCCGGGGTTGTTTAATATTCTAGTATACAAATGTGATGTTTGGATTTTCATGTCTCTTTAAGTTCTAAAGTCCAGACAGTATAGCCCAGGGCTCTTAGCTCAGTGTCTAGAGCAGTGCCTTAAATGTCACAGCACTCAATTTACATCTAAAAGTCTTTTGAATACAGATGGTCTCTGACTTATAATGGCTTGACTTATAATTTTTTGACTTTATGATGGTTTTATGGGGCATTAAATACATTTTCAATTTATGATATTTTTGACTTACAATGGGCTCATTGGGACATAACCCCATCCTAAGTCAAGTATTGTTAATTATTGTTGGGTGCACTCAAATGTGGTCAACTTCGAATAGCTCACCATTTTTCAAAAGAAATCCTAAAATGCTGTGAATGGACTTCATACTAAGTCTTTATTGACAAGAACCAATGGTTCTCCTCATGATAGTGAGCATAACTGTGGAATCAAATTCCAGTCCTGTTCCTAGCTAGCTGTGTGACCTTGGAAAAATTATTTATTGCCTCTGACCCTCAGTTGCTTTATGTATATTAAAAATAAAATTAAGAATAATGCTTGCATCAGTGTCGTTAGGAAGCAAGGACAAATCTTAGTTGCTGCCTTGAGCTGATATAGAAATGAAAGTTAGATATATGTTTTATAAATTACTTGAGTTTTAAACTTTTTGTCTTTTAACTTGAAGCTTGAAATAATTTATCCAAGGATTTTAAGAAACTGTGGCAAAGGTTTTAGAGTAAATTCTGAACTTTCCAGATGGGAGTATTTCAAGGCCACAGAGTTTTATTAAGGCATGATGGCTGCCTTGGCTTTCTTTGGGTGGGCTTGTTGGTCTTTAGTAGCATCATTACTTTGTAGAGTAGATTGATAAATGGAAAAGCAGTGAAGTCTAATCAGCTAGGATTACGCCTAGCAGAAACCTTTCATGGTAAGCTGATGGGCAAAAACACTGAAAATAATAGCCATGCACCCACTCACACAAGAACTGAAATATCTGGGAACGTAATGCTAGTGCATTTGTGCTCCGTTCCCCTAACAGCACAATTAGTGAATTGGAATCAGATTTCATTGCCTGGCATTCTCCTGAGATCTTTTACTTTCTATCCTTCTATGGCCCCATTCCCAAGCATCATAATCAGAAAGGCCAATTTACCTGAAATGAATATGTAACTTGTTTCGAAATGAAATGCAGTTGGTTATTGGATTGTCAGTCTCTTCCATTTGTGTGGCTGCAATTTTCACTATTTTAAGGGTCTGCTATTGAAACAGCTTCTGTCCATTCACGTTAGAATGCAAGGTTCACATTTAATAGTCTTAAGGGAGAGCGCCTGGCGCTTACTGAATTACCCAGTAGAACCATTCTGGGTACTTGGTGTCCTGGAGTCACCAAACTGCCTTCTTGGAAAACAGCCAACCATACCCCAAATAATAGAGGAGCCAGATTCCAGGGCTAATAGTAATAAATGTTTAAAAGAATGAAACACATTATATTTAAGGGGAAAACTACCCTTTGGGTTTTTTCCCTGGAAACTTTAGAAGTAATGACTAAATTGAAGCAACAATCTTACAAACAAACAAGTACACCTCTGGAGATGTCATTTTAATCACAGCATACTGAAGAGAGCCTGTAGACATTAGCCAAACACATTATTTCTTCTTATTATAGCAGGCTCGTTTCTCCCATTTAATAGCAGTAGCTCACACATAGCTCTAAAACCTGGAGTTTGTTTTATTGAGGAATGTTTGGACCTAAACAGTTGCTTCATTATTTTCTTAAATTCCCAGCAGGTGATCTTCAAAAGACACGCGAACTCGATTAAAATCAAATAGCAGGCAAAGCTAAAACATTCATATTCCCCTGTAAGTATCTTCTGGTCTTTCTTCAGTCTCTGGCTGTTCATTTATTGCAGCTTCCCTATGATTTTTCCCTTTGTCTTACACATTCTGGCTGGCTTCATTTCTAAGCTTTCTTAATTCAATCCACCAAATATCTGGCATACTAACATTTCAGGTGACAGAGGAAGCCAAATATAAGCTGGTTATAGAATTCAAGATTCTCAAGATTCTTCCTCCTACCTCTATCTGTGCTGTGAAAAGAAGAATTAGCCCGTAAATCCCAGACATACTGATACTTGGATAGTTAGCCCATGAAGAATGTCATTTACTCAGCCTCTTGTATGATCCTTCTTTGGGGATAACTTTTATAATGCTATGGAAAGGCTCTGGCTATACTTGTTACAGTCCTCACACATCCATCAAGAGATGAGAGGTAGAGTGAGGGGAACATGCGCAGAAAGGAGGAGACATCGCTGGGAATTACAGATATTTCCAACACGATCAATTAATCAGATGGCTTTTTCAGATAATTGCTCACAAATCTTTATACTACGAGGAAGGATTTCTGGGCTCCATTCATATCACTGTGAGTGGCAGTTGGAAAAGGAGCATCCAGAGCTAACTGAATTTAGCTAGAAGACAGATCTTACTGGTATTATGGAGGGACTTAACTCCTTGGAAGAATCTTAACAATGTCTTAGGGTTTGTTAATTTAATTTTAGTTGACTTAATTTTCTACTAAGAGTATAGTGTTCTGTTTTCAGCAATAGTAAGAAAGAATGTCTTGTGGAAGCAATTTCATGGTTGCCTTTCATGTAAATTTTAGAAGCCTAAAAGCACAGGCGATCAATCTCTAGTCTACTTGGTATCCCATCATAAAGCTGCTCTCCAAACATTAGTTGCTTCTTGGTCTCCTGACTGAACTCTTGGCATTATCAATAAAGTAATATTTTTAAATTACTTATTTTTGTGACCTATAGTATCTCTTGGGATAATAAACTTGATATGCTTATTAACCAAGGAGAATTTTTCTCTATTACTCCTAGATTTAACTTTTTAAAATGTTGATGGTAAAGTCTGTATTCTTGTTAGCCACACACTTTAAGATTTTAGACTCTTTGCTATATTCTTTTATTCTTTTACTTTGTCTTTTCAAACCGAAGAGTTCTGTTTCTTAGTCTGTTCTCATAAAGAAGCCCCTTGTTCAGTTTAATAGCTCTTCTCTGGTTGTCTCCATTCCAGTTCTTGGTTTTCTTGAGCTATAATGACCAAATGATACACATGGCTCCAGGTGTGGGTAAACCATGTTTCCATAGAGGGGGTGGATAAAGTTTTCTGCTCCGTTTCCAATAGTCTTTTTCATGCTGTTTAGGATTCTGTAGCCTTCTCAGCCACAAGAGCACATTGTGCTTATTTCTTCAAGTCTGCAGTATGACTCTTTTCTGAGTCATAATTGTTCAGATTATTTTGAGAGTAAGGTACACTACTATCCTTTGTTTATCTAACCTCTGTTGCTACTGAAACATTTGGTAATAACCAGGGATCTTTGAAATAGTGTAGGAAAACCTCAATCTATTGATCCCAGATTTATTTTCTCCTGGACAATGTTCTTATTTTAATTGAATCATTTTTTCCATTACAAGAATTTGGTTTTCTAAAGGAGTGAGGTTTCATGGTGGGAAACACTTTATAGATGGCGTAGATATCATATTTTTTTCAAAGTTAGTATACTGAGTGTACTTTTACCACATCAGTATTTTGTTCTTCATAACATTATATGTATAATGTCTCCATTAAACATGTAATATATAAACACTGTGCGTTCAGTGTTCCAGTGAAGAGGACAGAAACGGAAAGCAGAAAACATGAGGTTTGATTCAGATGGAGTCTGATCAGGGCAATTTAAGCTCTCTCTGTCTCAAAACCTCAGCATTACCATTCATAAGTCAAAGATGGTAACCCTTGGACTGACATTGTAAAATTAATAGCATGATCCTTCTGGGGGTATTTGGAGATTTTTGAGAAGAAGGGACTATTTAGGTTTAATTGATGATAGTATTAAAACAATGAGTCGAAAAAAGTTTACATATTACTTATGGCAGTATCACATACTGATTAACAGAAAGACTCCCTGGACTCAGACTTAAGTAAGAATCTGAGCTCACCTCATATTGCCTCAGTGACTTTGGGGGAGTTTGTTGAACTTTCTCTCAACCCCAAGTTTACTGGGGGAAGAATGACAATGAAAAATTGTATATATGTAAGGTGTACAATGTTATGTTTCGATGTATTCACACATTGTAAAATGTGTCTAGTCCCAAGTAGAGGAACCCACACCAGATTAATGGTAAAGTCTGTAGTAATGTAGAACCTTACTAAAGTCAAAGACAAAGAGAAAATTCTACAACAGCAGGAGGAAAGTGTGTAAAATGATTATCACAATCAAGCTAACATATCCATCGGCTCACTTAGTTACTATTTTCTTTTTTGTGGTAAGAACACTTGAGATCTACTCTCTCAGCAAATTTCAGGCATATGATATATTTGTTATTAACTACAGTCACCATTCTGTAGATTGGGTCTCCAGAAATCCAGAACTTATTCATGTTATAACTGAAGGTTTGTACCCTTTGACTAACATCTCCCTTTTCTCCCCATCCCCAGTCTCCTGCTAAACACTGTTCTACTCTCTGTTACTTTGAGTTTGATTTTTTTAAAGGTTCTACCATTAGTGAGGTCATGCAATATTTGTCTTTCTGTGTCTGGATTATTTCACTTAGCATGATGTCCTCCAATTTTACCTATGTTGTTGCAAATGACAGTATTTCCTTTTCTTAAAAGGCTGCATAGTATTCCATTGTGTATATATATATCACATTTTCTTTACCCATTCTTCTGTATTCAGATACTTTATTTCCATATTTTGGCTACTATGAATAATGCTGCAACAAACGTGAGCATGCAGATATCTCTTTGAGATAGTGATTTTATTTCCTTCAGATATATATACCCAGAAGTGGGATTGTTGGCTAATATGGTAGTTCTATTTTACTTTTTAAAATTGTGTTTATTTATTTTTGATTGACAAAAATTGTATATATTTATGGTGGACAACATAACGTTTTGATATATGTATACATTGTGGTATCACTAAATCAAGCCAATTAATATATACATTACTTCACATATCATTTTTATGCATTGAGAACACAAAAATCCCTCTTAGCAATTTTCAAATATACAATATATTATTATTAACTATAATCATCAGGATATACAATAGACCTCTGGAACTTACTCATTCTAACTGATATTACCAATATCTCCCCAATGCCCCCATCCTCTAGCCCCTGGTAATCACCAGTCATTCTGTTCTCTGACTCTATGATATCAACTTTTCTTAGATTCCACCTATAAGTGAGAATCATGCAGTATTTATCTTTCTGTGCCTGGATTACATTATTTCACATAACATCCCCCAGGTCTATCTGTGTCACAAATGACAGGGATTTTTTTTTCTTTTTTAAGGCTGAATAGTATTCTATTGTGTATAAATACCACATTTTCATTATCCTTTCAACCACTGATGAACACTTAGGTTGATTTCATACCTTGGCTATTATGAAAAATGCTGCCATGAACATGAGAGTGTGAGTATCTCTTCAACAAACTAATTTCATGTTTTTGGATACATATCCAATGGTGGGATTGCTGGGTCATACCATAGTTCTATTTTTAATATTTTGAGGAACTTCCATACTGTATTACATAATATCATACCAATTTACAAATTCACCAACAGTATACTAGAGTTCCCATGTTCCACATCCTTGCCAACACTTTTTATCTTTTGTCTTTTAAATACTAGCAATCTGTAAAAACCACTTAGCATAATATTTAGAATACAATAAGCCCTAAATATACTAGCTACAATAATAATTTCTACTACTACTATTATTATTAATTTGGGACCTCAGGATTTTTCATTATAACTAAATTTGAAATTTATCCACTATGGTAGAATATATTGGGTAAATGAATTAAAGTTTAAAAGCTTATAGACTAATGAAAAATGTTTTCCAATTACTATTTTATATGTCAAAGTAAAATTATAATTAAACTTGGTATGTAAAAAATAAACACATAAAACATTACAATATAATAAGGGCTACTTCAGAGGTTGCATAAAGGGCTGGAGAATCCAGTGACTATTGTGGATACCTGTGATTTATGAGAACTACTTTTTGTAATATCACCCACTTTTTCCTCTGTGGAACTCCCTTAGGTGATCTTGACTCCACCTTTGACTCCAAAGCTGGATACTTGTTTCTGGCCTGGCCAATCACAGCATTGTATCCTGCTCACAGAGTGACTGGTTCAAAGACTGATACAGGACTGTGAAAATCAGGCATAGGACTTGGTTTAAACGTCTGGGAGAGATGCTTCTTCCTCTTTCCTGAACTCAAAATTGTGATGATGGAATCCCAGAATGATTGGTCTTTATATTGCTGTAGTGAAAGAAGTTCCTGTTTGTCAATGGGACCAGCACAGAGGGCCACAGAGCAGAGAGATTGAGACTAGGTCCTAATAATCCTGACATTTCCAGTTACTAATACCTTTATGCTTAAGCTAATATGAGTTGGGTTTTTATTACTTGCAGTCAAGAAAGTCTTGGCATATACAAATAATGAATTAGACTTGGACAACAAGAAAGGTTCTATAAGAATTGATTCTAATATCATAGAATGAGGTGGAATAGAAAAAATTCAAAAATGGGCAAACTTTTAAGATAAAGGGGAGTAAGAAGGCCGAGACACAAATATATGAAATGGCATGTTTGAAAAATACGGTATCAGTATGGCCAAATCTTATAAATCTCTGATGGTAATGTTTTGACCAGCCAGTTTTCTTCTATCTGTGGGCAGTATGGTATGGTTTAGAGAAAATGAGCTTGGGAGAAATTTAAATCCAAGATAAATAAATTATTAAGTGTATGCCTTTAGGAAATTACCTAACCTTATTGAAACTCACTTTCCCATTCTTTGCTATGAGTATAAAAACACCCACTTTTCATGGTTGTTTGAAAGACTAAGTTAAAATTATGTATGGAAAGTTCCTAAAACAGTTCCTGCCTGTCATGAAGTCTGTTGTATTTGATATATAAGTACAGCTACTCCTGCTCACTTTTGTTTTCTTATTGCTTGGAATTTTTTTTTTCATCCCTTTCCTTGCAGTTTATATGTGTCTTTACGTGTGAGATGAGTGTCTTGTAAGCAGAATATAGCTAGGTCGCTTTTTAAAAACTCCACTCAGCCAGTCTATATCTTTTAAGTAAAGTTTAATTTTTTACCTTTAAGGCCATTATTGAGATGTAAGAGATTATTTCTGTGATTTTATTAATTGACTTCTGGCTATTTTGTGTGTCATTTATTCCTTTCTTGTTTATCATTGTGACTGTGGTTTTCTGTAGTGGTAACATTTGAGTCCTTTCCTTCCTCTTCCTTATTTGTGTATTTGCTTTATCAGTGGGTTTTATACTTCCATGCGTTTTCATGATGGTAGCTATCTTCCATTTGCTGTCAGGTGTAGAACTCCCTTAAGCATCATTTGTAGGACCAGTTTAGTGGTGATAGAATCCCTCAGCTATTGCTTGTTTGGGAAAAGTTTTATTTCTCCTTTGTATATGAAGGATTGTTTTGGAGAGGTTATTGCATCCTTAGCAGATTTTTTTCAGCACTTTAAATATATCATCCCATTCTCTTCTGACCTGTAAGGTTTCTGCTGAGAAATCTACTATTAATCTGGTGTGGGTTCCTCTACTTGGGACTAGACACTTTCCTCCTGACTGTTGTAGAATTTTCTCTTTGTCTTTGACTTTAGTACGTTTCTCTATAGTGTGTCATGGAGAAGACCTTTTTACATTGTATCTATTTGGGGACCTCAAAGCCTCCTATATCTGGTTGTCTAAATCTCTTGCTAGACTTGTGAAGTTTTCAGCTATTATTTTGTTAGATAGGTTTTCTATCCCTTTCATTTTTTCTTTGCCTTCTGGGACACTGAAAACTTGAATATTTGGTTGCCTTGTGGTGTCCTATATGTCACATAGGCTTCGTTCATTCTTATTTCTTATTTTTGTCTCCATGAGTTATTTTTAAAAACCTGTCTTCAAGTTCTGAGATTGTTTCTTCTCCTTGATCTAGTCCATTGTTAAAGCTTTCAAATGTATTTTGTATTTCATTTAATGAATTCTCTGCGTCCAGAATTTGTTTGGTTCTTTTTTAAATGATATCCACCTCTTCAGTAAATTTATCATTCATGTCCTGAATTGTTCTCCTGATTTTTGTCTTGCTTTTATATATTATCTTGTATCTCACTGAGCTTCCTTAATATCGGTATTTTAAATTTTTTTCTGGAGTTTTATAAATTTCTTTTTTATTGGAATCCATTGCTGGAGAATTATTGCATTCCTTGGAAGGCATGATATTTCCTTGCTTTTTCAGGCTTCCTTTGTTTTTATGTTGATACCTGGGCATCTTGAGTAATAGTCATTTATTCTAATTTTTTGGATTTGCTTTCATAGGTGAGAACTTTTTCCTGGAGAGGTATCTATGGTGTTGGTTGGGTAGGGCACTTTGGCTTTGTATCTGGGTATATGCAGTAGTGCAGTTTCCACATGATTTCTTTAGCTGTAAACAGTGTCAGTGGTGTCTGCTATTTCCTCAGTGGCTTAGGGTGTGGTTGTTAGTGGAGGCTGTGGTGAAATTTTTCTGGGTACCGGGATGCCAGCTGGGCCAGTTCTTGGACCTTAGTGGCTGCAGTGGTGGGTCAAGCCTACTGCCCTCTCCTTGGGCCCTGGGGTGGTATATACTGGCACTGATGTCAGCAGGCCCAGGTGGGTTAATTCTTGGGCCTCCAGGTGGCCTCCTTCAGGGCTGGTAGTGGCAGTGACTGGCTGGGCATGATCTCTGGTTCTTGGGCAGAAGGTATGGCATGGGCAATATCAGTAGCAGTAATGGAACAAGGCTCTGATTCCCAAGCAGCCTGCACTGGTGTCGGCAATGGCTGGGCCACACCCCAGGCTGGCAAGGTGGTGTGTGTGTGTGTGTGTGTGTGTGTGTGTGTGTGTGTGTATGCGTGTGGTAGTTGTAGTGATAGAGGCAGATTGGGTGGGCCTAACCTCAATCCCCTGGGAGGAGTGCTCAGGCGGCAATAGTGGTAGACAGGGCTGGGCAATTCCCAAGTCTCCGGATGTTGTTTTTGGGCACTGGAATGGTGAGGCCAGGTTGGCTGAACCTGTCCTCAGGTCCCCTTGTGGTACACGTAGGCACTTGCTGTGGTAGGCAGTAGTGAGGTGATAGGTAGGCAGGAACAAAATGCTTCGGTGGGGGTGGTACTGTCTGCACTGCAACCCTGCTATGTGTGGTTGTTTTCAGTAGCAGCAGCCATAGGCAGGCAGCTGGGAAGTGCAAGCTTTGCTCACACTTTGGCCACAGCAGTAGTGGCTATAGGCAGGGGAGTCTGTTCTTAGGACATATGAAACCGTGTGGCAGCTTAGCTTAGGGACAGCAGAGTTGCTCCCAGTGGCTCCTGCTTCGGCCCTGGTGGCCATAGCCAGCCATAGCAGTTGGCTGTAGATGGCAGGTATCAGTGGAGCTCCAGGAATGTGGAGATGCCAGGGCTGTTGAGCCCCAGAGGGGGCTGCATTCTGGTGGGGAATGGCTCTGAAAATGGTGCCTTGCTCTATCTGCTTATGACTCAGAAGTGTGTGGGAGCCAGACTTGAGCTCCCTCTCTGGAGCAATGTAATCTTGTGGTTTCCAGGCAGCTCCCTGTGTTAGTCTTAGGGCCCATGAGGATTGAGGGCCTCTTCTGCAGTTAGGATCACAGGAGTCTACCTTGAGCATGTGGACCATTGGGGGTCCCTCATGTACCCTTTCCCACATTGGGGTCCTCTCCAGATTCCCAGCTGATCCTGGCTGAGCAGACTGCCTCACTTCCCTCTCCTTCCTTGCTTGAGGGGTTGCCTATCACTTCCCTGAATTCCAGCGTTCTCTTTTAGATGATCTATTTGAAGTGTGATTATGTACTTGCCATTTTGGCTCTATTTTTTGGAGGAGGCAAGTACCAGATGACTCTAGTAAGCCATCTTGAAGCCACCCACCCCTGCATCTTTTGTTGTTATTTTTTATTTTTCTCTTGCTATTTTGGTAGGGCTTCTTCTTCTTCTTTTTTTAAATAAATACTTGTTTTAAATTCACATTTTACTGATTTTTGTTTTTAATTTATTTACAAAATAAATGCTATACATTGTTCTCAAAACCAAGCTTTCGCTGCTTTCAGAAGTTTTGAGAGAACTCTAATGATTTTCATCTTTTCTGAATAGTATTTATTTGTAAATTTTAAGTAATAAAATCATTCATTGTAAAACTATATACAGTTGAAATTTTTGGTATATATAGATAAATATAAAAAATAAAATCCCAATACTATAATATTTGTTATATGTAGATAAATATGAAACTAAGTATTGTTATTCCAACCCTCCCTGAGCTGTGACAACTATCATTGGCATTCTGATGTACTTCCTTCTAGTCTTTCTCCACAAAGGACAGGCTTTTTTGTTTTAAACAAAATTGTGATTCCATTATATGTAAGGCTTTGTTAATTCCATTATAAGTATTTTCTTTTTCTTTTTTTTTTTTTTTTTTTTTTTTTTTTGAGAGGGAGTCATGCTCTGTCACCAGGTTGGAGTGCAGTGGCGCGATCTCGGCTCACTGCAACCGCTGCCTCCCGGGTTCAAGCGATTCTCCTGCCTCAGCCTCCCAAGTAGCTGGGACTACAGGTGCATGCCACCATGCCCAGCTAATTTTTGTATTTTTATTAGAGACGGGGGTTTCACCATGTTGGCCAGGATGGTCTCAAACTCCTAACCTCGCGATCCACCCACCTCGGCCTCCCAAAGTGCTAGGATTACAGGCGTGAGGCACTGCACCCAGCCCATCATAAGTATTTTCATGTATCATCATGTATTTTAGAAAATGGTATTATTGACTATATATCAGTTCATTGTGTGCACACATTTTATTTAATTAATTTGCTCTTTTCAGTTATTTAGTTTTCTTTTTTTGTTATTATAAATTTCATAGTAATATATGTCCTTATACATAAATCTGAGTATGAATCTAGGATTATTTACTTAAAATGAATTTCCAGACACAAATTGTGGGGTTAAAGTGGGAGGAGCATTTTTAAAGCTTTTGATATATACCGCTAAATTGTCTTATAGGAATGTATAAATTATGAAACAACCAGCTGTCCATGTGAGACCATGCATTTCCTTATCCAAATGAAGTTAAAGAAATTATTTGTCAGCTTTTTTGGTGGTATGTGGTAACTCCTTTTCCTGATTTGAATGTTTTTCTAGTACTAGTGACTTTTTACAGGTTTTTCTTATGTTTGTTGGTTGAGTTTTTTTTTTTAATGTCTATGCCTATCTTAGTATCTATGCCTATTTTAATTTTTTAATGTCTATGTACTTTCTTTTGGAGCATGTTGTATGATATTTTATAAATAAAAGGTGTTAACTCTGTCATTATAGTGTAAATATATTTCCCAATATGTTTTTAAATTTTCATTTATGATATATAGAAATTTTAACTTTTATATATTAAAAATATCTATATTTAAATGACTTTGTCCAGATGTAGTGACTCATGCCTGTAATCACAGAATTTTGAGAGGCTATGTCAAGAGGATTGCTTGAGGCCAGGAGTTCCTGGCCAGCCTGGACGACACAGTGAGACCCCTATCTCTAAAAAAGTTTTTTTTCAA
Source organism: Homo sapiens (assembly GCF_000001405.40). Classification (NCBI taxonomy): domain Eukaryota; kingdom Metazoa; phylum Chordata; class Mammalia; order Primates; family Hominidae; genus Homo; species Homo sapiens. Next base: position 6,528,139 of record NC_000020.11, read on the forward strand.
ACAATCCTGCCACCTCAGCTTCCTAAAGTGCTGGGATTACAGGCATGAACCATTGAGCCCAGGTTCTTTGTAATATCTTCCTCCACGTTTTTACGTATCAATCCTGCATTCAAACATTTACTCATTCTGAAACAAATTTTAGTATATGTTATAAGGTATTGATCCAAATTTTTACGTTTATAAATAGTTAACATCTCCAAACCATTTATTGATATTAATTTCACCTTCATCATATTGTAAATTATAGTTTTGATTTTCCTTTTTGACAATGAATTATCTAAGAGGATACTTTAGAATTTTCAAACTTAATAAAAAACTTTTGCATTCAAAGACTGTATTGTCTGTAATTTCTATATTTTGTTACTTTTTGAGTGTCTATTATAATCAAATATAATAGACTGAACTTAAGTTTAGTCAATGTTCAATATAGTTTTACAATGAAGGTTTATACTGCAGCTACGTGGGATAAAGATATACAATGATTCATTTAATTCTATTTATTTTGTTGTTTAACTTATCTGTGATAATAATTCTAATACTTATTTTTTAAATGGTTAAGTTTAACAAACTTTAAATAATTACTTGGTAAGATTTTCATTTGGGGATAATGTCCAAGGTTCTTGCTAGTCTAATGTACCTTAGTAGCACTTTGTTCATTTTCATGGTGTCCACAAATTAAACTATAGTAAAATGTGTGTAGTTATTGACTTACTGTGAATTCTATGGGGGTAAAGTTGATGCCTTCCTGAACCTATTCTGGCACAGGATTCATAGACAATAAACACTTTTAAAATGCAGTTGAATTTCACCCAAGTTAAATCCAATGCAAACCTGCAAGGAGAAATTCCTAAAGAGAGTAAATCCTAGAAATAGTAAAGAAAATCATTGTGTCCTCAATGCCAGACTTATGGTAATTGAGTAGAAAGTGACAGGCTTTCAAATAGGATTCTAATGACTGTTTATCTCTGCAAAGATTTACAAGATACTGTCTACTCCCATAAAGTTGTCCCCTGAAGAACTCAACCTTGACAGTGGATTGAATTTGGTGGCCCTGGGATATGGGATTTCTATTTCTAGAAAAACAGACACTCATCAAGTAAACTACAGGTATACCTTGGAGATACTGCAGGTTTGGTTCCAGGTCACCACAATAAAGTTAATATTGCAATAAAGTGAGTGACACAAATTTTTTGGTTTCCAAGTATACATGAAAATTACATTTACACTCTACTGTAGTCTATCCAGTGTGCAATAGCATGATGTCTAAAAAATACATACCTTAATAAAAAATACATACCTTAATAAAAAATACTTTATTGCTAAAAGAATGCTAACAATTATCCAGTCATACTCTTTGTGTTGGTAGAGGGTCTTGCCTTGATGTTAATGGCTGCTGACTGATCGGGATTGTGGTTGCTGAAGGCTGGAGTGGCTGTGGCAATTCCTTAAAAAAAAGACAGCAATAAAGTTTGCTGCATCAATTGACTCTTTCTTTTACAAAAGATTTCTCTGTAGCATGTGATGTTGTTTGATAGCATTTTAATGACTGCAAAACTTCTTTCAAAATTGGAGTCAGTTCTCTCAAATCCTGCCAGTGCCTTATCAACTAAATGTATGTAATATTCTAAATCCTTTGTTGTCATCTCAACAATATTCATAGAATCTTCACCGGGAGTATATTCCATCTTAAGAGAAGACTTTCTTTGCTCATCCATGAGAAGAAACTCCTTATCAAGGAAAGTTTTTTCATGAGATTGCAGCAATTCAGTCACACCTGAAGGCTCCACTTGTAATTCCAGTCCTGTTGCTATTTCTACCACATCTGCAATTACTTCCTTCACTGAAGTCTTGAACCCCTTGAAGTCATCTATAAAGGTTGGAGTCAACTTCTTCTAAACTCCTGTTAACATTGATATTTTGACCTCCTCCCATGAGTCATGAATGTTCTTAATGGCATCTAGAATGGTGAGTCTTTTTCAGAAGGTTTTCAATTTATTTTGCACAGATCTATCAAAAAAGTCATTATCTATGGCAGCTGTAACCTTAAAAATGTATTTCCTAGATAGTAAGACTTATAAATCAAAATTACTCCTTGATCCATGGGCTACAGAACGGATGCTGTGTTAGCAGACAGGAAAACAACATTCAGCTCCTTGTAAGTCTCCATCAGAGCTCTTGGGTGACCAGATGCATTGTTACTGATTTTGAAACAAATCTTTTTATCTGACCAGTAAATCTCAACAGTGGGTTTAAAATTTTCAGTAAACCATGCTGTAAACAGATGTGCTATCATCTAGGCCTTGTTTCATTTTTAGCACACAGGCAGAGTAGATTGAGTATAATTCTTAAGGGCCCTAGACATTTCAGAATGGTAAATAAACATTGACTTCATCCTAAAGTCACCAGTTGCATTAACCCCTAAGAAGAGAGTCAGCCTGTTCTTTGAAACTTTGAAGCCAGGCCTTGGCTTCTCTCTAGCCATGAAAGTCCCAGATGGCATTTTCTTCAAGACAAGGAGTTTTCATCTCCATTCAAAGTCTGTTTAGTGTAGCCACCTTTATCAATTATCTTCACTAGGTCTTCTCAGTAACTTGCTGTAACTTCTGCATCAGCACTTGCTGCTTCACCTTGCACTTTTATGTTATGGAGACAGCTTCTTTACTTAAGCCTCATGAGCCAAGCTCTGCTAGCTTCCAAGTTCTCTTCTGCAGTTTCTTCACTTCTCTCAGGCTTCCTAGAATTGAAGAGAGTAGAAGTCTTGCTCTGGATTAAGCTCTGGCTTAAGGAAATGTTGTAGCTGGTTTGATCTTTAATCCAGACCACTCAAACTTTCTCCATATCAGCAATAAGGCTTTTTCACTTTGTTATCATTTGTATGTTCACTGGAATAGCACTTTTAATTCCTTCCTTCTTTTCCTTTACATTTACAACTTAGCTAACTGGTATGACCGGCTTAACTTTTGACCTGTCTGGGCTTTTGGTATGTCTTCCTCACTACGCTTAATCATTTCTAGCTTTTGATTTCAAGTGAGAGACTTACAACTCTTCCTTCCACCCGATCACTTAGAGGCCATAGTTGTGTTATTTATTGGCCTAATTTCAGTATTGTTGTGCCTCAGAGAATAAAGAGGCCAGAACAGGAGAGAGATGGAGGAACAGCCTATTGGAGCAGTCAGAACACATACAACATTTATGAATTAAGTTTACTGTCTTCTATAGCTGTGGTTAGTGGTGCCCCAAAAGAATTAAAATAATAACACCAACGCTCACTGATCACAGGTCACAATAAGAGATATAAAAGTAATGAAAAACTTTGAAATATTTTGAGAATTACCAAAATGTAACACAGAGACACAAAGTAGGCACATGCTGTTGGGAAAACAGCACTGATAGGCTTGCTGGATGCTGGGTTGTTAACAAACCTTCAATTTGTAAAAATGCAATATCTGAAAAACATAATAAAGACAAATGCAATAAATTGAGGTGTGCCCGTCTAGTTTGTATAGTATAGAAGATATTGAAATAATCTTCCCAGAAAATCATATATCAATCCAGAAGAGCCAAGAGCCTCCTCTACTCCAGACCATCAAGATTCTGCCAATGTTCTCTGCTAGCTAAGCCCTCATGGGACTTAAAAGATTCGCTTTTGCTCCATGATAAATTTCAGCATAGGAGTTTTAAACTTACATTGGTAACTGCATATCCAGCCTCAGCCTTTCTAGATAAGCAGCTATTCTCCTCTGAGATTTTCCCGTGATGCTCTCAGTGGGACCTACCAACTAGCCCTGCTTTTCTCAGTCTGGGAGTCCTTCCTCTTCCACTCCTTTTGCCTCTCTTCTTTGAGAAACTCTCTTCTTTCTTTTTCCCTGGGTACTTAACATCTAACATTATTTCCTCAAGAGTTTGGGTTTTACAGGGTTAATTTAACACAAATGAATATCTCAATGAATTACCTTATTAAAAGTGCTAGACTCTCATTCTCTCTCTCTAGAAATAAGCTATTTTTTTTTTCAGGGCCTATGTGTGCAACTAAGTGAGATCCTGCTTTGATACCCCAAGGCAGAGTCAGAGCAAGCCTGGCTGAGGCTGTGGTGGCCCTTCTGACCAAATTCAGAGTCAGACTGTTTGCTCTATGGAAGTCTCTTGCCTCTCCCTTCCAGACCTTCCTCTCTTCATTTCTTGCCTAGGTGTGTTAGACCCTTTCCTGCTTTCTTGAATTTTGCTTCACTCTTTTTCCCTCCCTCTGTCTCATGAACCCCAGAAGGAATGAAATTGTGGTCCATGTATGAATTCAATGGGCAGACATATTTGTTTGGTTTCCACTGCGGGGAAAACTGTACAGTGTGCATCTCATTTGAACTCGTGGTCAATATTTAACATTTGGAAATTTCACATAAGAATCCCTATTTCCAACTTCTCTGAAAATTTGAAAGATCTGGCCACACTGGGCCCACATTTGTGGCAAACAATGAGTTGGAGTCCTTATAAAATTATGCTGAGTGAAAGAAACAAGTTACAAAAGACCAGGTATTGTATGATTTCATGTATATGAAATATCCAGAATAGGCAAATCTGTAGAGGTGATGGATTAGTGGTTTCCCAGGGCTGGGCATTTGGAGGGAAATGGGGAGTGACTGCTAAAGGGCACACGGGATTTCTTTTGGGGAATAAGAATGTTCTAAAAGCGATTGTGATAATGGTTACACAAATCTGTCACTATACTAAAAATAATGGAATTGCACATATTAAATGTGTAAATTACATGGTATGTGAATTATATCTCAGCACATGTTTAATTTTTTTTTAAGTGGGTTGTGGTTATGTAGCATGTACCTTCCTTAGGTGGGTACCTGCCATAGTCTCCATAGTTCCATATTGACTGCCCTACACTGGGACCCAGTTAACTTCTTTGATTTTGGCCTCTGTTGGCATTTGACATTTTAGCCTCAGTTCATATTCATGAGCATTTTCCTTTTTCTAGTACCTTTATCATGATAAGTTCCCTTTTCTTATCCTTTTCCTCATGAAAATTACCTTTACTGGTCATCCTAGAGCACATCTCCTATAATATTTTTTGACATGTAGTTATCAAGTTTCTGACAAAGAAATGTATTTCCTTATTAGTAACAATATTGCTATAAAATTATACGTTATCAAACCAAACTGTCTTATAAATACAACCTGGATTCTGGGTTTCATAAACAAACACAGTGCACTATGCCAACCGAAGAATAACAGGAAGTACTTTATGACCCCACATTATCTAACAGTTCTCCCCTAAACATCCCTGTAGCATGACCAGGCAGGAGATGCTACAAGACTGGGAACAGAGCTGCAATCACTGGCATTTTTAAACAGCTTGTTGATGGACTGGGCTTGTGAGAAAACCAACATTACACTGAAACTCTTAGGGATACTTTAAATTGGTGGATTAGATGGTCGCTTGATTAAGTTTGGGTTATGTAAACAGTGGAGTGTTTAGATTTAGGCTTGGCTGTTGGAGTCTAGGCAGCTGTTTGTACTTAAGTCCAGCTAGAAGTCTTGTTAATCAAAGAACTGACTGAATTTCTTTCTTTCTCCCACCCCTGCCTGCTTCTTTTTTTTGTACCTGTGTTGTTTTTCCCCCTGTTCAAACCCTTTGGGCTCAGGACTGTAGGTAGGCAAGGCAGAGCATTTTGAATGTTTCTCTGAGGACCAGGAACTTATTTTTTTGATTACACAGTGATGTGCCCCACAGATCTCCCTCACTGTGAGGCAATCACTTCATTTATCCAAGTTCTACAAAGCCTTTATTATTTCGGTTAGTTCATATTTTTGAAGCTAAGTCATCAGTTTGATGCGTTTGTTGTAAAATGTGGTTTAACAGCTTGTTAGCACATTTATTTTTTTTTTAATGGAATCCAAAGGTATTTCATGCTTGAGCAGCAGTGGATTTAAGAGCCGATGAAAAGCCCCGCGAGCTGGGCGCAGTCAGCACAAAACAATGCGGGGAACATTGTGGAGTCCTACGCAGAGCTACCCCCAGCAGTGGCGTGCGGGTTTCTTGAACTTTAAGTTACGTTTTTTGCTTTTCTTTTTCCCTGACAGTGTCTCATAAATAACCCATGTTGCCTTATGCGTGTTGGTTTCAGATTGTCTAGGATGTACTGGATCATTTGAGCAGTCTGCGTTCATGTGGTTTTTCTCCCCTCTGAAGATGATTCGATTCTGTTTTGTCCACAAAGGGGAGACGTGGATTGCTGTTTTCTGTCCTCCAAGTGTGGCTTTGTAAAGCTGTCTCAGAACTAACGGGTTGGAACTGAAAACTATTATGGAGCTTGGTGAATGTCAGCGAGCCTTTGAAAAGTAAAAGCTGGGAAGCGACAAACTCTTTCCACAGTTCCATCCCAAATACAAACGAGGTCATTTTCTTGGGAGGCAGCAAAAGTGAGCATTCTGTGTTTGACCAAAGACAACCTTTTGGTTGAGGTTTTGATTATCCAGGGATGAAATGGAGGCAAATGGTCTTCTTTGCCTAAATCCAGACCTACCTTTGTACCAGGCTAGGTATTTGTTGGATTGAAAGGAGTGCAGCCCTTGGAGAGCAGTTTCATGGAACTGGAATTGGTAAAAATGGGCTTTCTGATTATATCTTATATATTATTATTAGAATGTATTATTACATATTAGATCTATATTATATCTAATATAGATCTAATATATTAGATTATAATTAGATTATATTAAATTATAATTATATATTAGATCTATATTATTATATCTAAAATGTTTTACCTTACCAGCCTTGCCATTTGCATATCTGTGTTGTCAGTTCATAAACCAGATTACAATGATTTTTTACCATTCAAGTCAGAACTCTTATATTTCATTTATATTCCAGAAAGTAGAGATTAAAGAAAAGTATTGAGAAGAGAAGGCTAATTTCTTCTTACATAATAATATCTGTGGTTCTCAAATTGAAATGACAGCTGATATAGTGCTTAGAGCCTAAATTTTATTTTTATCTATCTCTCTAGAAAGAGATATTGAAACACATAAGGGAAAGAGAGGAGACCATATGTGAAAAATTACCAACTACTTTGCCAGTGATTACCTAACAATGAATGAGATTCACCTTTCCAATCTGCCCACACCTCCAATGTCTCTTTGAGGTTGAGAACATAAATCGTAACCTCTGTGTGAGGCAATCTTACTTTCCTAAAGAAAAAAAAGACCGCTGTTAATGACAGTGGTGCTCGTGTACATAAAGATTACAAAAGCTGGTCTTGGAAGGGACCTTTGTATAAACTACTCCAACTATCTGATTTTGTAGACAACAAAACAGACTAAGAAACTTGTTTCTTACTTTCGTGAATGGGGGGCTTTGAATATTCACATGCAAGTTTTTGTCTGAATACCTGTTTTCAATTCTTTTGAAGTAGGATTGCTCTGCCATATATGCTAATTCTATGTTTAACTTATTGAGGAACCTCCAGATTTTTTCTACAGTGGGTGTACCATTTACATGCCCTCCAGCAATGTATGAGGGTTTCGATTCTCCACATGCTCAGTAATACTTGTTATTTTTCCATTGTTTTATTTATTACAGCCATATAGCCATATCCTAGTGAGTGTGAGGTGGTATCTTATTGTGGTTTTGATTTTCATTTCCTTAGTGACTAGTGATGTTGCGTATCTTTCCACGTACATGTTTATCATCTCTATATATTCTTTAGAGAAATGTCATTCAATCATTTGCCCATTTTTTAATGGAGTTGTTTTCTTTGTTGTTGAGTTGTAAGACTTCCTTATATTTTTTGGATACTAGATCCTTTCCAGATATATGATTTGCAAATATTTTATCCCATTCTGTGGATTGTTTTTTACTCTTTTGATAATGTTTTATAATGCAAAATAATTTTTAATTTTATGAAGTTCAATTTATTTTTTTTTCTGTTGTTGCTTGTGCCTTTGGTGTGATATCTAAGAAACCATTGCTAGATCCAAGGGCTTAAAGATTTATCTCTATGTTTTTTTGCTAAGTGTTTTATGGTTTTAGCTCTTATATTTCAGTCTTTGATTCATTTGAAGTTAATTTGTGCATATAATGTGAGGTAAGGATCTGACTTCACTCTTTTGCATGTGGATATCCATTGTCCCAGCACTGTGGAAGAGACTGTTCTTTCTCCATTGACTGACCTTAGCTCACTTGCCAAAAATCATTTCACCCAGTTATATGAGTTTTTCCTGAACTTTTCATTCCATTCCATTGATTTATATGTCTATACTGCCAGTATGCAGAAATTCAGTTTTGTTTTTCTCTTTATCTGAAGTTATTTAGAAATTATTTTTTAAATTTTAAATTGAAGGGATTTTGTGAGCAATATCTATGTTAAACTAAATTTTTCTTTCACTGGTCAAAGAGAATGCAGATCTGCATATGATCATTTCATTTTCTTTGAAATTCAGCAACTTCATTATGTGTTGCTTGTTTTTCCTGGAACAAGTCTTTTCAAAGCAGCGGATTCATATCCTTCTTTCAAGCAAGTTTTCTTCTATTATATCTTTCTTCATGTTTTGTTTTTTTCTTATTCTCTCCATCAAAGAATTAAATTATGTGTGTATGATATATCTTCTGCTTGTCTCAACTTCCACTATTTTAGAATCTTTGCTCTTGTCTCTTCACTTGTGTGATTTCATCAAGCTTTTCTTGTAGTCACAGTTTTTTGAAAATTGTTTTTTGATACCTTTTCTTGCTTCAAATGTAGATTTCATCCTTGTAATGTATGTGTGTATATCTGTCTATCTGTCTGAACATATTTATAGTGGCTGTTTTGAATTCTTTGTTAAGTCAGACATCTAGGTCCTTTCCCAAGCTATTTCTGCCTTTGTTTTTCTGTGTATGTTCTGTTTCTTTGTATGTCTCTTTTTTTTTTTTTTTTTTTTTTTTGAAAACTGGGTATTTAGATAATATATTTTAGCAACTCTGGATATTGATTCATCCTGCAGGGCATTTTATTTTGATTGTTGTTGTTTGCTTATTTATTTGTTTGATAACATGTCTGGACTATTTTACTGATGTCTATTCCTCCTTCTCTACTGTGAGGCCTCTGATATTCCTCCTTAGAGGGCACAGCCTTGGGTACACACACGGTCACCTGGTGAAAGTTGTTTTACCAGAGCTTTTCTTAACTATCTCTTTCCCTGCTCTCTCTGTTAAGCTATTGGCTTTTATTACTATCATACCCGGCTGTTAGGCATCTCTAATTGCCATCAGATTGCTCTATTGTTATCACCAGTGTCCTGGGACATAGATTAATCCATAGTCTCATCCAATTAAACTTGAATCTCTTTGCAGGGTTAGGTTATAAGCCAGTCTTTGAGGTTTGCTCTGACCACAGTAGGGGACTTCTTGGCTGTTTCCCTAGTTGTCTCTGATAATCTATCTGGCTTATAGTTTAGTGTGTTGCTCTCAAGAAGTTAAAACTTTACAATCAAAGTCTTCCCTGTTTGTGAAAGTGTCCTTAGGTTTGAACTTCCCCATACTCTGTTTTATATAAAGTCAGTTCCTTTGGGGAGAGGTTAGGTGTTCTCTGTTCTTATGGCCTGCCTCTCTCCTTGGGAAATATCTCTGAGCTACTGCTCCAGAGAAGGTGGTGGGGACAATGGCTGTTTCTTCTCTTGGAGTAATATTCCTGATTTAGTAGCAATAAATAGCTGTTAGTCTTCTTAGCTAGCTTCTTGCAATGTGGAACTTCTATCCTGTGAGTGAGCAGGAATGAGGGTGATAGGGTTCCTGGTAACCTCAGCCTGCTGAGCCTGGGGCAGAGCTTCTGTCCTGTGAGTGGGGCCTGGGTGAAAGAAGGGAGCGCGTGACCTCTTGGCTGCACTAGCCTGAAATTTAGCCTCTGTGACATGAAAGTGGGAGAGGATGGGAAATACTGGTAGTCTGGTCCTACTGGGGAGATACAGTAACCCTTTACAGGGAACTGAAGCCTCTGTCATACTGAACTGGGAGTAGGGAAACAGAGAACAGGTCATGGCTCAAGTGCCTCAAATTCTCAGTGTTCTTGCCAAGATTTAGTAGACTTTTAAAATGTTTATTCATTTTCTGCATGCTCTTAAAACAATTTTCAAAAACTTTAAGTTAAAAAATAATAATTTTCACCAATTATGGTTGTTTGGCTAGGGAGAAGATCTGTGGAACTTCTCATGCCTCCATTCTCTCTCTCTATTTTTTTATTCTTTAATCTTTTTAGAAGGCTTACTTTTTACTTCCTCCTGTTATTCGAATATTTATGTTTTGTGCTATTCTTTATTTATAATTTGTCTTACTATGGCAATCTGTTTGTTTGTTTGTTTCCTTAGTTTCTCCTAGGTTGTGTGTGCTTCCTCTGTCTTTGGCTGATATTCCTTCCCTTGTTTTTGCATTGTGGTTTCTGCTCATAAGTCCATAACTGGTTCTTTTCTCTTTGTTACTTATCCTCAGAAGGGTCAGGCTGTTTTCTATTGTGTTTCAGGGGTAGAAAGGAAGTTTGAACAGCTTGAAATTTCTATTTGAATTTGTTTTTTTTTTTTTTTTGAACACTTTACCAAATCTTTTTTTTTTTTTTTTTTAATACTTGGCACAGCCCTCTCCATTTCTGGGTAACTCACAGTAGTACATATTTAGTCACACTCCCTGTGCTGAAACCTAGTGATGACTTTCTCTTCTCCTTCTTGGCCGTGTCTCACCTCCAGCAGTCTCTCTGGGCTCCCAGGATAGGTCATAGACAATTAGAAATGGCATATGTATTTGTCCTTCAACTTCACCTCTCCTGCTGTTCATTGGTTTCAGATTGGGTCCTTTGAGGGACATCATTTGCCTTTTCCCATGCCCGGTCCACAGAGTTTGATTTTACTACTAGCAAAGAACCACAAGACAGGCCTTTCAATATTGTGCCACATTAAGCAGGAAACCTGTCTCCTGATCAGTGTCTGAAGGGTTCTGTGTCAGCTCTAACAGTGTTCTGCTTTGGGATCCAAATAGCTCTGTTTGTAGGCGCATCTACCTTGTAGTTTTCATTTTTGGCAGGTTTCTTTTCCTTATTTCATTGAAAATGAAATTGGTTTTTAAAAAGTCTCTTACTGTTTCTTTTCAGCATATATAATGAAGTAAAAAAATGCTTTTCATCCTCCACGTTTAACCAGATAGCAATTTTATTCATATCTATTTTGATAACTGATGTATTTGATCAATTTTCTAATGTCTTGTTTGTGTTTAAAAATGTACTCCCTTTTTTTTGATGTTTTCTCGTTTCTTTTTATATACTGCCTTTAATATGACTGATAGAGTATTTTTTTTAGTGTTTGAGGTTTATATATACATATGTTTCTTTTCTCTTACACATTTCATCTGAGTTACTTAAGACTTTCTATTGATCTTAGTGTTAATATCAATTATATCTCTTAACAGACAAAGCCTTTAGCAATCTTCCATTATTTTCCCCTTAATCTCTCTCCTATTTTCCATATCTTGTTCAAATCACCTTGTAATTAGAATTTAGATTCACTTGGGAGAAAACTTCAGAGACAGATATTTTGAGTTTGGGTTCTACTGCGTCTAATATGCTTCTTTGAGTAATTCTCTTCACCAACTGCACCAGGTGAAATACTCATGACTCTTACTTGTTTGTTTGTAAATTGAAAATTGGAATACTTCAAAGAAAGTTGTGTTCACAAAATTTGAGTACTCAGATGTTTCTGGGTACTTAAGAGCAAGGAGGTCAATCTCTATCATTTAGGATGAATCTGTAACTTTTGAGACATGCAGCATTACAGCTGGCTGCTTCTTTACAGAGATTCACCTTACTGGCAATACATGTTGAATAAATTAGTAAAAACAAATCAATTGCATAGGAAATTTAAGTCAATACAAATTAAGTGCTTTCTTTCTACATATCTCTTTGCCATAGAACTTAACATTTGGTTCTGCCTATGATTAGATATTTTTCACTATTTTTGATACACAGACATTTTGGTCATTTTTCTTTTTTCTTTTCTTTTTTTTGAGATGGAGTCTCGTTCTGTCACCCAGGCTGAAGTGCAGTGGCATGATCTTGGCTCATTGCAACTTTCACCTCCCAGGTTCAAGTTATTCTCCTGCCTCGGCCTCCCAAGTAGCTGGGATTACAGGCATGCACCACCACACCAGCTAATTTTTTATATTTTTGGTAGAAACAGGGTTTCACCATGTTGGCCAGTCTGGTCTAGAACTCCTGACCTCAAGTGATCCACTCGCCTCGGCCTCCCAAAGTCCTGGGATAACAGGCGTGAGCCACCGCATCCGGCCTTGTAAAAGAGATAAATACTTTCTTTTTTAGCTAATGAGCTTGAGCAAACTAAGCCAGGTGGATAAGATGATAGTCGGGCATAAATTATATAATTCCCTGTAACAAGACAGACCCTGAGAAGGAAATATAAACTCTGCCAGGAGAGGTTATATCATGGAAATAGCCTTGAAATTAGAATTAGGTGATTTGTTATTGGGGCCTAATTCTGGTATTTCCTAACCTTGTATCATTGGATAAGATCTTTCATCACACTAAACCTCTGTTCTAATTTGTAAATTGATGATAATAATATCTAGGTTACAAGGTTACTTTAAAGAGTATGTGAGATAATATTTGTGAAAGCACTGAGCCAGAGACTAATCACTAAATGGTAATTGATCACAAAATTATTAGAAAAGGCCCAGGCACGTACATTGGCACATAAAACTTGTAAAAGTTATAATGTAACAACAAATAAGGATTATTTCTACCTATATGGCTAATTTTATAGTGTATAGATGGGTGGGATGCTAGTTGCCTAAACACCATTTATCTACCCTTTTTCTTTTTCTAATAGGATCTTAATATTATTGGGGATGGCAAAGTACTTAACTGAAATTCTACATTTCACAGTCTCCCTTGCAGATACAGGTGACAAAATCTAAAATGATTGCTATTGGTAGGACTTCTGGAAAATGTTCTGTAGAAGGGGCTGACAAAACTGGGACACGTACCTGTTTTTCCCTAACTCCCTTTCTCCTTTCTGCTGCCTGGAATACAGATGTGATGACTAGAACTACAGTGAAAATGTGATGGTTATGGTCATGTGATGTTGATGGAAGCCAGTGTTAAGTATGGTGAAGCTGAGAGATCGACAAACAAATAAGCAAAAATCCTTGGGTTTCTGAAAATCATTGCTTGATGTACCCCTGGGTTTATTTTACATGACAGAGAAATAAACCTGCATCTTGTTTAAGCTACCATGATTTGTGTTTTCTGTTATTTGTAGCCAAAAATGATCCAAATTGATTTGAGTTTCTTCTGAAACACATACACACAAAAGTGAATTGAGGGTGTTTTTATTATTTAATATCTTTTTAAAAAAATATAACAGATCAAATGGATTTCAGACAGAAGGAGGAATACTTGGCTGCATTGTAAAGAAAATGGTTATTCTAGTTTATGTGAAAATAATTTTTAGTACACATTTGCACTCCAACAATTAGTGTGCACCTCTTCTTCCCTGTTTACATTGCTGCTCATATTTTCTCTTTGTTTAATATTTCCATTTTCTCCATTGACACTCTTTTTCCCAAACAGTTGCTAGAAACTCAAAGTTGGCTGTGTCTTTCCTCTGATTGATCTGTCAGGGTAGTGGACTCCCAGTGGAATTGCAAATTTATAACAACAGCTTCTCCAGACCTTTTCTGTTCAGCTTATGGTTTCCTATGGCTATTGGAGACTGTGAGGCTACAAAATAATGGGGCATTGTGCACGGGACTGCAGTAGAAGTTACACAAGAGCTTACGTGTCTTTACCATGTCCATCCTTTCCCATCGAACAAGGGGAGGACAGCTGTTTCTTGGTGTGTTAAAATTGTCTTCTAAAACTATAAATTTATTATGCTTCTGTGATCTCGTGATCCAGAAACCATCCCTGTTACTGTTTTCTCCACACTTCAGTCAATGTAGAGAGATGATTATTCAAGGCCTGATATATTTTAAAGAGATTGAATGAGTTTCCTTGTCACTATTTACTGAGTATCTACTTCATCCCAAGCTCTGTGATGTGTAATTATGCAGCATAGTTTGGATAATGTACTTTGGGGCTTGCAAAGCTTACTGTCCTTTTATGGACTCATCTTTTCACATCTCTTCAAGTCTTATCTGTTTCATGCATTGTATCTGTTTTATTTAGAGTCAGCTGTTACTAAAAAAATAAAATGAATGAAACAACTGATCTGGAGGAAACAAACACAATACATGAAATAGATAAGACTTGAAGAAATGTGAAAGGATAGTGATTCCAAAAAAGAATAGTAGAGATTAAAAAGAATTTTTGAAAATGAAAAGCTAAAAATCCCCTAAACTTCCTTATCAAACTAAAAAACTTAGGAAATGGATAAATAACAAGGCAAAACACTGTAGTGTAAGAATTAGTCATCTGGAAGATAGAATTGAGGAATATCTTCCCCAACAAAATGGAGAAGAAATATATTAGAAAAGTGAGAGTTAAATGATAGCTCAACAAAATCTAATTTCAATCTGAGAACAAAAAGAGAGAGAAAAATAAGGAGAAGAGAAACTCAAGGAATTAACAGAAGAAAAATTATTGGAACCAAAGCAATATTTAAATCTTCAAATTAAAATAGCCCCCATGTAACTTTGAAGAACAATGAAAAGTTATAGAAATATCCAGATGAAATGTATAAATTCCAGGGATAAAAGGAAGACCCTAAACATGTTCCCTTACAGGAAGAAAAAGTTTTTATGTGCCAGTTTCTCTGACCTGTCTCTATGGTACTCGTTAATTGGCCATTGGACCTATATATCTCATTTCTTTTCATTCATAATTTCCATTTTTATTTTTCTCTATGTGCTTTGAAATTTCCTCAACTTTATCTTCAAGTTCTTCTATTATTTCTATGTTTTAAAATCCTAAGCATTTTTATTGCTCTTCATTTCTTCATAGCATTTTGTTCTTATTTTATGAATGAACTATCTGTCATTATAAATTCAAATGTTGCTGCTGATAAATTCTCCTTTGTTCTTGGAGTAACATCTCAGCTTCCCGGGTTGGACTTTCTGTGTATTTGTCTTTGTAGTCCTTATTTGTGATGTTGATTTTATGTCTATTCATTGAGAGAATGAAAGTCTAGATTTATGATTCCAGGCTGTGGATGTAAGTTTCCTGCTACATAGGTAGATCTGTTTCCAATGTACCTCTTCCATGAGTGGCAAGGCTGCAAGGGACTACAGTCATTCCCCAATGTCTGTGGGGGATTGGTTCCAAGACTTCCTGTGGACACTGTAATCTACTTATGCTCAAGACCATATATAAATGGTTTAGTATTTGCATATAACCTCTGCAAACCCTCCTGTATATGTTAAATAATGTCCAGATTACTTATAATACTGAATACCATGTAAATGCTATATAAATAGTTGTTTTACTGAATTGTTTAGGGAATAATGACAAGGAAAAAAGTCTACATATGTTCAGTCTAGATGCAAGCTTTTTGGAACATTTTCCATCTGTGGTGGGTTAAATCCACAGATGTGGAACCCATAGATACCAAGGGCTGCCTGTATTATGTACATCTATATAGTGCGTCAACAGTGTGGTTCTATCGTGACATGAGCGGGTGGGATAAGCCACCTCTCAAGCCCCCAGTAACCCAAATGGCAGAGTAAGTGTGTTAAGGGATTTTTTTTTCACTGGAGCACCAACATTCATAATAAAAGCTCAAGTTCTTCCCATATGATCCATTCAATTTCTATAGAGAACCTCCCCCAACCCCACCTTTTTTTGGTGCTGAACATTGGATCTCCTATCTTTGACAGGTGACAATATTTTCAGCTTTACATGTACAGAATCATGTTCCCTTGATAGGATGGTTTCTATTTCCACAACAGTTACCTCATAGCCTGTTCTGCGTAGCTTGCTTCCTTTCTAATTTTTTAATTGTGGTAAAATACATATAACATAAAATTTACTATATCAACTATTTTTAAGTATATAGTTCAGTAATGTAAGGTACATCCATATTGTTATGCAACCAACTTTCAAAACTTTTTCATCTTGGAAAACTGAAACTCTACACCCATTAAACAGCAACTTCTCATTCCCCCTCCCTGAGCCCTTGACAAGCACTATTCTACTTTCTGTTTCTATGAAATTGACTACACTACATGCCTAATATAAGTAGAATCACACAGTATTGTGTGTGTGTGTGTGTGTGTGTGTGACTGGCTTATTTCATTCAGCATATGTCCTCAAGGTTTGTCCTGTCATAGCATGTGTCAGACTTTTCTTCGTTTTTTAATGCTGAATAATATTCTGTTGTTTGTATGTTCCACATTTTGTTTATCCATTCATTAGTAAATGGGCATTTGGGTTACTTCCTATTTTTGGCTATTATAAATAATGCTGCTATGGACATGGGTGTGCAAATATCACTTCAAGACCCTGCTTTCAATTCTTTTCAATTTACAGAAGTGTAAATACTGGATCATATAGTAATTCTATTTTTATTTTTTTGAGAAACTGCCATACAGTTTTCCATAATGGTTGCACAATTTTACATTCCCACCAACAGTGCGCAAGGCCTCCAGTTCCCCAGATCCTCATCAACAATTGTTTTCTCATTTTAAAATATATGTGTATAATATAATACAATTATATTTTATATATGTAATATATATACAATATATATTATATAGTAGCAATTCTCATGGGTATAAGGTGATATCTCCTTGTGGCTTTGATTTGTATTTCCCTAGTGATTAGTGATGTTGAGTATCCTTTCACATGTTTGTTGGCTGTTTGTGTACCATCTTTAGGTAAATAGCTATTCAAGATCTTTTCACATTTAAAAAATCAGATTGTTTTGGGTTTTGTTATTTGTTCATTTTGGGATTTTTATTGGTTTTTTTGGAGGTAGTCAGTTACAAGAGTTCTTTATATATTCTGCATATTAACCCCTTATCTGATATATGATTTGCAAATTTTCTGCAGAATGGATATTTTCTCCCATTCTATAGGTTGCCTTTTCATTCTACTGATTATGTCCTTTGATGCAGACATTTTAAATTTTGATGTAGCCCAATTTATCTATTTTTACTTTTCCTACATGTGCTTTTGGTATCTTATGCAAGAAGTCACTGCCAAATGCAATGTTATAACATTTTCCTACTGTGATTTTTTCTAAGAGTTTCAGAGTTTGAAGTCTTACATTTAGGTCTTTAATCCATTATTCATAAACTCCTGTAGATGATATAAGGGTCAAATTTCATTATTTTGTATGTTGATATTCATTTTTCTTATGATTATTTGTTGAAGGCTGTCCTTTCTCCACTGAATGTTTTTGGATAGACTTTGAAAAGATTATTCTCAGTGAAAGAAGTCAGCTACAAGAGACCACCTATTATGTGATTTCATTTATATGAGATGTCTAGAATAGGAAAATATATAAGGACAGAAAGTAGATTAATGGTTGTGAAGGTCTGGGGAGGGAATAAATGGATTTACTGCTAATTAGATGATGCTAATTGTGTAGTGATTATACAATTCAGTGAATATATTAAAACATTTGAACTTTACACTCTAAATCAGAGTATGTGAAAAAATTTACATACCTGTGAATTATATCTTAATAAATGTGTTAAAAAGAAAGGATACCAAAATCTATGCATCCTGTGGAACTCATGTATATGAGTTTTGTATTCCATCCTGTGGAACTCATGTATATGAAAAGTAGGCCTTTCATATAAACAGGCTTTAGATTACATAATTACCATATTTTGGATCCTCATTTGGTTGAAAAAAATCCACTTATAAATGAACTTGTGCAGTCCAAACCTATGTTGTTCAAGGGTCAACTGTATATACATACGATAGAACATTATTCAGCTTTAAAAAGAAAGAAATCTTACCATTTGTGATAATATTGATATTTTTTGAAAACGTTATGCTAAGTTAAATAAGCCTATCACAGAAGGATAAATACTGCATGATTCCACTTATAAGGCATCAAAAAAATCAAACTTATAGAAGTAAAAAATTGAATGGTGGCTGACAGAGGATGGGAGAGGTGGAAATGGGGAGTTGTTCAATAGGTATAAATTTATAGTAGTGCCTATAATTAACAATATCGTATTATGCATTTATAAAAGCAAATGGTCACAAGAAAACTTTTGGAGGTGATGAATATGTTTATTACCTTGATTGTAGTGATATTATCATAAGTGTATTCATATGTTCAAACTCATCAAATTGTTTATGTTAAATATGTGCAATTTTCTATATATATCAGTTATGCCTCAATAAAGCTGGGGGAAAATCGAGTAAAAAAATATAAATGACACATATAGAGAAAATGTAAAATGGTGATAAAATCCAAGTATGTAATGATAATATTAAATGTAAATGGATTCAACTTCCAATCAAAGGCAGATATTTAGACTGGATTAAAAAATAATAAACAGGATCCAACTGTATGCTATCTGTAAGAAGCACACTGTAGATTAAAAATAGCTTAAAAGTAAAATGAAAAAAGTTACATTATTCAAACAACAACTATAAGATACATGGAGTGAATGATTGTTAGCCTGGTAATTTATATCAGATAAAATAGATAATAAAACAAAAATGTTCCTAGAAATAAAGAGGGACACTGGTATGGTTTGGCTGTGTCTCCACCCAAATCTCATCTTGAATTGTACTTCTATAATTCCCATGTACTGTGGGAGGGACCCAGTGGGAAATAATTTGAATCATGGGGGCGGTTTCCCCCATACTGTTCTCATGGTAGTGAATAAGTCTCACGAGATCTGATGGTTTTATCAGGGGTTTCTGCTTTTGCATCTGCCTCATTTTCTCTTGCTGCCACCATGTAAAAAGTGCCTTTTGCCTCCCGCCATAATTCTGAGGCCTTCCCAGCCATGTGGAACTGTAAGTCCAATTAAACCTCTTTTTCTTCCCAGTCTTGGGTATGTCTTTATCAGCAGCATGAAAACAGACTAATACAGACACATTACAATGATACAAGGGTAATTCATCTTGAAGATATAACAATTACGTACATTTATGCATCTAACAACAGGGCCCCCAAATACATAAAGCAAAAACTGACAGAACTGAAGGAAAAAATAGGCAATTCAACAGTAACAGCTGGAGATTTCAATAACCCACTTTCAATAATGGACAGAACAAGTAAGCAAAAGATCAACAGAGTATAAACAATTTGAATAACATTGTAACTAGACCCAACAGATATCTGTAGAACACTCTACTTAAATGCAGCAGAATACATAGTCTTCTAGAGCACATGTGGAACATTCTCTACAATAGACCATGTGATCAGCCATAAAACAGATATCAATAGATTGAAGATTAGAATCATACCAAATACATTTTCTGACCACACAGGAATTAAATTAGAAATCAATAAGAGAAGGAAATTCAGGAAATGTACACATATATGAAAATTAAACAACACACCCCTAAATAACTAATGTGTCAAAGAAGAAAATCCAAGATAAATTTTAAAAATTGACATAAATAAAAACAAAACCTCAATATACCAAAATGTATGGTATACAGTTAAGAGGAACTCAGATGGAAAGTTATGGGTATAAATGCAAATATTTTAAAAAGTCAATAACTTCATCTTCCACCTTAAGAAACTAGAAAAAGAAGAACAAATTAAACCCAGAGCTAGCAAAAAAGGAAACAATAAAGACTAGAGAACAATTAGACAACAGAAAAAAAAATGGAAAAAAAATTAATTCTTTCAAAAGATCAACAAATTTAACAAATCTTTCTTTAGACCGACAAATAAATAAGAGAAGACTCAAATTACTAAAGTCAGGAATAAGAGGGGACACAACACTACTGACCTTACAGAAATAAAAAGGATTGTCAAGAAATCTATAGGCAATTCTATGCCAACAAATTAAGTAATTGAGATCAAATGGACAAATTTTTAGAAAGATACAAACTATCAAAACTGACTGAAGAAGAAATAGAAAATCTGAATTTATGTATAAAAAGTTGGATTATTAAATTTAAAAAACACTTTCTACAAAAAAAATCCAAATTCACCAGTTGGCATCACTGGGGAATTCTACTAAGCATCCAAAGAATAAAAACCAATACTTCACAAGCTTTTTCAAAATATAGAAGAAATGGGAGCACTTTCCAACTCATAAGGCCACTATTACCCTGATATTAAAGCCAGACAAAGATATTACAAGAAAAGAAAACTGTAACTTAATATTTCTTATGAAGATAAATACAGAAAATCCTCAACCAAATACTGGCAAGCGAAATCCAACAATATATAAAATGCATTATACACCATGACAAAGAAGGATTTCTCCTAGGAATGCAAGGTAATGGTTGCATCTGAAAACCAACTAATATGCACATTATATTAATAGAATAAGGGACAAAAATCACATGATCATCTCAATAGATGTAAAAACGAAATCTGACACAAGGCAAAACTTATTCATGATTAAAAAAAAACTCAAAGAACTAAAGTTAAAATGGAACTATCTAGCCTTACAAAGGGTGTCTACAAAAACCCCATAGATTATATTATATTTGATGGTGAATGACTAAATGTTTTCCCCCAAGATCAGAACAGAACAAGGACATTTATTCTTACCATGTCTATTAACATCATATTGGAATTTCTAGCTAGGTTAATTAGGAAAGAGAAAAAAAAGGCATCCAAATTGAAAAAGAATGTCTATTTGCAGTTGACATGATTTTGTACACAGAAAATCATATGGAATTGACTAAAATACTATTAGAACTCATAAGTGAGTTCAGCAGAGTTTCAGGATGCAATATTAATACACAAAAATCAATTTTATTTCTTTAGTAATGAAGAATCCAAAATTAATATTAAGAAAACAATTCCATTTATGATATTGAAATATTATAGCATTGAATGAAATACAATTTTTTCAATGCTGTAATGTTCAAAAGAAATAGATCTGGCAAAAGATTAAAAACTTGTGTGCTGAAAATTACAAAATATAGCTGAAAAATTAAAGAAGAGCCAATGAAATGTAAAGACATCTTGTGTTCACATATTAGAAGACTTAATATTTTTAAGATGGCAATATTCATTAAAGTAATTGAGAGACTGAATACAACAATCCTAATAGGCTTTCTTATAAAAGAGAGAATCCCAGTTTGCTTTTCCCAAAAATTGACAAACTGATTGTAAAATTCAAATGGAAATGCAAGAAATCTAGAATAGCCAAACTAATCCTAGAAAAACAAAATTGAAGGTCTCAAAATTCCAAATTTCAAAACAAAGCCATAGCAATTGAGACAGCATGTACTAGCTTAAGGATATCTCTCTCTCTCTCTCTCTCTCTCTCTCTCTCTATCATCTATCTGTCTGTCTGTCTTATCTATCTAAATGGAATAGAATCGAGGGTTTACAAATAAACCCTTATTATTTGTGCTCAACTGACTTTTAAACAAAGATAGCAAGGCAATTCAATGAAAAAAGAACAGTTTTTCAACGAGCAGTCATGGGAGAATTGTATATCCACATGTAAAAATCATG
The DNA here is from genome assembly GCF_000001405.40 of Homo sapiens. Lineage (NCBI taxonomy): Eukaryota > Metazoa > Chordata > Mammalia > Primates > Hominidae > Homo > Homo sapiens. The sequence continues at coordinate 6,549,739 of NC_000020.11, forward strand.
AGGCTGTGTTCCTACCTCACAAAATATGAAAATTTAACTCAAAATCAATCATAGACCTAATCTGAGAGTGTGAACTATAAATTCTTAGAAGAAGGCTTGGAATAAATATTTGTGGCCTTGATTCAGGCAATGATTTTTTAGATGTAACACCAAAAACACAAATGACAAAATAAAAAATAGGTTAATTGTACTTTATCATAATTAAAATCTTTTGTGCTGCAAATAATACAATCAAGAAAGTGAAAAGACCACCACTGAATGGAAAAAAAATTTGCAAGTCAAATTTGTAAAAAGAGACATGTACCTAGCATATATGGAGAGCTCTTACAATTCAATAATGAAAAGTAAGTTAAAAATAGGTAAACAATTTGAATAGGCATTACTAAAAATAAGATATACAAATGACTAATAAAAACATAAAAAGATGCTCAACATCATTAGTCATCAGAAAAATGCAAATCAAACCCACAAAGAGATCCCACTTTGAACCCATTAGCATAGCTAGAATAAGAAAAGATAGAAAATAATAGGTGTCAGAAAGAATATAGAGAGATTGAAACGATTATCCATTGCTGGTGGGAATGTAATATGGTGCAGTCACGCTTTAAAACAGTTTGGCATTTCCCAGAGTTACGATATAACCCAGCAATTCCATTCCTAAGTATATGCTTGAGAGAAAAAAAAATACTTCTATACAAAAACCTATACACAAGTGTTCAAAGCGGTAGTATTCCTGGTAGCCAGAATGTGGAAATAACCCAATTGTCTATCAACTGATGAACGGATAAACAAAATATGGTATATTCATATAACGAAATATCATTCATCAATAAAAAGTAATGAAGTACTGACATGACACAACATGAACATGAATCTTGAAAGCGTTATGTAAGCTTTCAAGCTTACGTAAGCTTGAAGCCCTTCACAAAACACCATATATTGTGTGATTCCATTAATATAAAGACCGAGAATAGGCAAATCCATAGAGACAGAAAGTAGATTAGTTGTTGCCAGAGGCTAGGCGAAAAAGATATGGGGAGTGATTGCCAGTGGACATGTTTTTTTTTTTTTTTTAATATGAAATGTTCCAAAATTGTATTGTGCTGATATTTGCACAACTCTGTGAATATACTAAAAACATTTCATTGTGTGGTTTAAATTAATGAATTTTATAGTATTTAATTACATCTCCAATCTGCTTAAAAAAAGAAAATAGATCGTGGAGGAATAGGATGAGATCGAGAGAGCAGATAAAGTGTTTAATTCATGGTTAGAAGCAGGCGTACTTTTTCCATAGTACCAGGTAAAAGGCATCTCTGAGGCTAATTTTACATTACTCTTTTTTTTTTCATGTGAAGATAATCATTGTTGATTTTAACTTGATTTAATTTGTATAAAAATATCCTGCAAGTTCTGCACTATATAATTTGCCCTTAAGCCCTGTTCCCTTGAGTGATAACTTCTGCTGGTGGTCATCAGTGTTTTGACCATGATCTGGACACAGTCTCCTAGATGATCATATTCTTTCCTAGTTACAAACATATCCCTGCATTGGCTTCATTTTATTTTCCATCCGCCCTTTCTGCCTGAAATAACTTTGAGTCAGTCCTACCCACAGAGTAGGATGTCCTGCTGCGTGGACCAATAGAGGAGCTGTCTTCTGTGCTTGGAGCTGCACCTGTGCTGTTCCCATCATCTGGTGGTTGGAGGTATATCTGGGTATACAGCACAGATACCACATCTTCTAGAGTTATGACGTCTTGTACAGTTCCTTTCTAATCAGTAAGCAAGTATGAACACCTGGGATGACGTTAGGTCACTCTCTGCCTAATCCTTGCTTATTTAAAGAAGGCATTTTAAATATTGCCCAGTCTTCTTTTTTAATACCTTTCTGTTTTATTCAGATATCAGGGGTAAAATGCTATGAAGGAGGAAAGTAAAATTTAAATAAAAATTTAACAAATATTAGTAAGAGGAGAAAATGTCATTAGTCTTCCAAGGAATATGGAACCTGAAAACAGGAAAGTAAAATGTTGAACACTTCCAACTCACAGATGCCTCTGCATTTACAGCTCACTACAAAGGAGACATCTCGAGTTTTCCACAGGAAAACAGATTTACTACGAGGTAGTTAGTAAGTAGAAACAACTCCTTATTCGACTCTTTCTTCTAAGAAAGGTAATCAGAGGGTAGAAAAGTGCCACTCAGAAAGCAAAATGGAATGGACCAATTATTCTAAAGATAAAGGTGGTGGTTGTAAGCTGCTTCCAAACAAGTGACAAACAAGTGTTGAAAATATGCCTACCATATGATCTAACCATTCCACTCCATGACATTTATCCAAGGGAAAGGAAAGCCTATATTTATACAGACGTTTTAAAATAAATGTTCAGAGCAGGTTTATTTGTGATTACGAAAAATTGGAAACAACACAAGTGTCCATCAAGAGGTGAATAGGTACACAAATCTTAGTATATCCATACAATGTAATCCTACAGAAATAAAAGGGAATGAACTACTGAGACACATAACACACGTATAAAGCTCAAAGTAAAAGAAACCAAACAAGAGTATATATCATATGATGGTGGAAGGACAGGATGGAAAGATTGCAAAATGGCACAAGGAAACTTCTGAGAGTAATGTGTGTGTTCACCATGTTGATTGTACTGATAGTTTTACAAATACAGTCATGTGCCACATAATAACTTTTGGTCAATGACAGACTACATATATGACATCTGTCTCATAAGATTATAATGGAGCCAAAAAATTTCTATTGCACAAATACTTACCATTATGTTACTATTTCCTTACACTAGTTAGTGCAGTAACATGCTATACAGGTTTGTAGCCAATGAGCAACAGGCTATAATATATAGCATAGGTGCGTAGTAGGCTATACCATCTAGGTTTATGTAAGTATGTTCACACAGTGATGAAATTGCCTAAGGATGCTTTTCTCAGAATGTATCCTTGTTGTTAAATGATGTGTGACTATATGTATATATATCAAAACTTTTCAATTGCATATTTAAAATATGGGTAACTTACTGTGTGTCAATTATACCTCAACAAAGCTGTATAAAAATAATGAATCACGTGCCCTGGAGTGGTGGAATCTAGTTGCTCTCTTTACAAGCTTAAGCTCATTACCGTAATAACTGACTATTAATGAAATCAATATGCATGTGAAAGAAACAGAAAGGGGCAACAACTTGGTGAAGCCACCACTGTAAAATAGCAATTATTTGGTCTTTGGCTCATTTTTTGACTTTTGTGTCCAGAAGCAATGAGCAGCCTATAACCAACTTCATTTGAACAAACAGTAAACAGATTCATGTCCACTGGGATATTGTCTTCCAGGATCCCCAGACCTGCTTTCACCAAACATGAAATGTCTGTTTACAAAATTCTGCTCTGTTAGATGGAACTCTTATTTCTCTCCCTGCAAAAAGGCCAGATATTTAAAATATCTCTGGAAAATAGGAAAAATAAATATTTGAGTAAAATTGTATTTCATCTTTAAACTGCTATTTCAAATATCAGGAGAACTTGTTACGTCCTTTTGTACAAAAGGGAGTGGGGAAGCTGGGACATGTAACCTGAGGTTGAACCTCCAAAGCACACACTGTATCAATTTATAGCTCATTGGTATGACTAATTGAGAGCTGATAGTGAAAAAACAGTATATGTTTGTGTATGTGTGTGCATATAGAAAATCTACAGCTAGCAGCAATATGTTATACATATACACATATTGCTGTTAGTTGTAGGATAGACTTTTTAAAGAGCAGTTTCAGGTACACAGCAAAACTGAGGGGAAGCTATAGAGATTTCTCATATATCCCCTGCCCCCACACTTGCACGGTTTCCTCCATTACCAACATTCCCACCAGTGTAGTATATTTATTACATTGACACATTATAATCACCCAAAGTCCATAGTTTATATTAGGGTTGACTTTTGGTATTGTGGATTCTATGGGTTTGGACAGATGTATAATGACATGTATCCACCATTGTAGTGGATACATATGGAGTATTTTCACTGCCCTAAAAATCTGTACTCTGCCTATTCATCCCTCTCCCCACCCCCCACCCTCTAGCAACTACTGATCTTTTTACTGTTTGCTTAGTTTTGCCTTTTTCAGAATGTCATGTAGTTAGAATCATGCAGTATGTTGTCTTAATATTGGCTTCTTTCACTTATTAATATGCATGTAAGTTTCCTCCATGTCTTTTCATGGCTTCGTAGCTCATTTTTCTTTAGCGCCAAATGATAGTCTGTTGTCTGTATTTACCATAGTTTATTTATCCATTCACCTACTGAAGGATATCTTGATTGTTTCCAAAACCAATGTTTTGACAATTATGAATAAAGCTTCTATAAACATATGTGTGCATAGACATAAGTTTTCAACTCCTGTAAGTAGACAATAAGGAGCATGATTGCTGGATCATATAGTAAGAGTATGTTTAGTTTTGTAAGAAACTGCCAAACTATCTTCCATAGTGGCTGTACCATTTTTCATTCCCACCAGAAGTGAATGGGAATTCCTGCTGCTACATGCCGTTACTGGCATTTAGTGTTAGTGTTCTGGATTTTGGCTATTCTAATGAGTGTTCAGTCATATCTTATTTTTATTTGCATTTTCCTGATGACATATGATACAGAGGATTTTTTTCATATTCCTATTTGCCATCTGTATATCTTCTTTGGTGAGGTGTTTGGTAAGGTCTTTGGCTCATTTTTTAATTGTTGTTTTCTTATTGTTGAGTTTAAGGAGTTCTTTGTATATTTTGGTCTACTGTCATTTATCATATGTGTCTTTTACAAATATTTCCTCCCAGTTTGTGGCTTGTTTTCTCATTCTTCTAACATTGTCTTTTCAGAGCAGTAGGTATCCATTTTAATTAAATTTAGCTTATCAATTATTCCTTCATGGATCATGCCTTTGATGTTCTATCAAAAGGTCATCTCCATATGCAAGATCATTTAGATTTTATCCTATGTTATCTTCTACTTTTATATTTTTGTGTTTTGCATTGAGGTCTATGATGCATTTTGAGTTAATTTTGTGAAGGGTGTAAGGCCTGTATATAGATTCATATGTGTTTTGCACATGGATGTCTAGTTATGTCAGCAGCATTTGTTGAAAAGACTGTCTTTCCTCCATCTTATTGTCTCTGCCCCTTTGTCAAAGATCAATTGACTATATTTATGTGGGTCTATTTCTTGGATCTCTATTGTGTTCTACTGATCTATTTGGCTATTCTTTCAACAATATCTCACTGTCTTGATTACTGCAGCTTTCTAGTAAGTCTTGAAGTTGGGTAATGTCAGTCCTCCAGCTTTGCTCTTCTTCAGTATTGTGTTGGCTATTCTGGGTCTTTTGCCTGTCTGTATAAACTTTAGATTGAGGTTTTCCTATTCATGAACATGGAATATCTCTCCAGTTATATAGTTCTTTGATTTTATTTTCCATCAGCGTTTGTAGTTTTCCTCATGTAGATCTTACACATATTTTATTAAATTTGTATGTCAGTATTTTATTTATTGGGATGCTAATGTAAGTGGTATTATGTTTTTAATTTAAAATTCCACTTGTTAATTGCTGGTATTTAGGAAAGCAATTGGCTTTTGTATATTAACCTTGTATCCTGCAACTTTGCTATAATCACTTATTAGTTTTAAAATTTATATTTTGATTCTTTTGGATTTTCTACATAGAACAATAATGCCATTTGTGAACAAAGATAGTTTTATTTCTTCCTTCCCAACTGGTACACTTCTTATTTCCTTATTTTGTCCTTCTGCATTAGGGAGAACTTCCAGTACAACATTGAAAAGGAGTGGTGAGAGGGGATATCCTTGTCTTGTTCCTGATCTTAGTGGTAAAGTTTCTAGTATCTTAACATTAAATTTAATGTTGGCTGTAAGGTTTTTTTGTGGATATTCTTTATCAAGTTGAGGAAGTTCCCACTTTTCCTAGTTTACTGAGAGATTTTATCATAAATTGGTATTGAATTTTGTCAAATGCCATTTCTGTGGCTATTTATATAATCATGTGATTTTTTAGCCTATTGATGTGATGGATTATATTAGCTGATTTTTGAATGTTCAACCAGCTTGCACACATGAAATAATTCCCACTTGGTCGTTGTGTATAATTCTCATTATACATTATTGGATTTCACTTGGTAATATTTTGTTTAGGATTTTTCCATCTATGTTCATAAGAGTTATCAGCCTATAGTTTTCTTTTCTTGTAATATTTGTCTGGTTTTGGTGTTAAGATAATGGTGGCTTCATAGAATGAGGAAGTTTTCTCTCTGCTTATAATCTTCTGAAAGAGATTGTAGAGTATTGGTATAATTCCTTCCTTAAATATTTGCTAGTATGTATACATCTTTAATTTTACTGTTCATTCGAATCATGTCATCTATTTGAATAGTTCAATATTATTTAGGGAGAGGCTAAATCAATAATAGTTAAATAGGTGGACTATGGTTTAGTAGCAGGTGTTTCATGAGGGCCCTTCAGCCTGTGGGCATGATCAGGTCACAGGGTATTATATTTTCCCTGTGGGCTCATCATGGCCGGGCACTCCTAATCACTGCTACCAAGCTTACTAACAATAACAAAAAGGAACGCTCTATCCTGTTATAAGTGCTGTTACATGGCTTTATCTTATTGAGCAAGTGTCTCTAGGCTAATCACTGGACTGTGGTCACCTTAGAACAACTCTCTGGTGAATGCTGTGATGTTCACCCAAATCTCCATTCAGGAATTGAGAACTTATTCCCCATCTGTGGAAAGGCTACGGAAGATGCCCCTTAGGTCAGATCTCCTGCCAAGGACAGCCTGCACCCAGTCACTGATCACTGTGGGGACATAAAGGCCCGGGCCCATCACCCCAACTAAAGGGCTACTTAAGCTCCTGAGATCCCCAAAGGCTGAGACCTCTGTTGGAACCTCATGGCAGCTCAATTTCTGTTTCTGCCCAATCCTGCTTTCTTTTCTTCTGCAGATATGGATCCCAGGAGCTATCCAAAGGTTTCCTGGGGTAGAATCAAATCACTGATCCTTGTTTTTAAAGCGCCCCCTTTTAAAATAGCCTTGGATTGTTAGTGATGCTGTTGTGGCTACAGGCTCGGAAGTCAAGCTTTCTGGGTTTACCTCCTGGTTCTCTCATCTCTTTACTACAGCACCTTAGGCAAGTAACTTAATCTCACTGTCAGTTTACTCAGCTATAAAATGGATATAATATTTGCACCAACCTCATGATATATATCCCAGATACACTCTGACTCTGAGTTGTTTAGTGTATTAGGGAGGAAATTGACATCCAGGACAGTTAAACTCTAATGGGTGGAGGAAAGATAAAGAGAAAACAATATAAAGCGTGGCATGCTGACTAAGGACTGAGGACTAAGACTAGGGCCCCTCCTTGTGACCTTCTCAATAGAGAAAATGTAACGGAAACATAGTTACAGTAAAGGTCAGGAAGAAAAATGGATGGGGAAAATTAATAAATGATATCTATGATAAGTCAATTATTTATTATACTCCATCCACTTCCAAAAATAAGTGGATGTAACTTATAAATTTGAATACAACATATGGCAAAGACAACTTTTTTCTAAAGAGGAAAAAATTGCTAGAATTAAAAGTATAGGCATTTCAGGTACCTGGAATGAAAAGCTCCTTTTATCTCATCTGAATAACAAAGTATAACCATTTGTCTGGAAGAAAAATATCATGGGTGTTACTTCACATCTTAAATATGTTCCAAAAACTCACAGTGGAAATATTGTTTGGATGTTTGTATTTACTTTCCATTAAAACCAACAGCATAACATTACATTTATTCTTTAAAGGAATTTTTATGTGAATCTTAGCAAATATGGTCCATTTACGTTGCTTAGGCTTACACTGCTAACTAAGGGATAATGTTTAGAGACTACAGAGCAGTGATTCTCAACCCTGGCTGTACCTAAGAATCACCAGGGAAGCTTTAAAAATCATGATACCCACACCACATCCTAGACCAGTTAAATCATGGTCTCTGCTGGAAGCCCAGGCATTTTTTTTAAAGCTTCCTAGGTGATTTCAATGTACAGTCAAAGTTGAAAACTGCTAACATAACAGACTGAGCAGTTACTGTCTCCATTAGCCTATCCTGTTTATGTATCATTATTTCTCAGTGGAACTTTTGATTAATGCTGGGTTGCAATCAAATATTATGCCAGTATGCATCTAAAGTACTAGCCTTATGGAACATTGATTAGATAAGGAAGTCAGCAGAGTGGACCCAGGAGTGACTAAGGTCCTCCTGGGACCAATAGGATGTGAGTAAGTTAGTGGGGGATTGAGTTATTAACTCTAGATTGACAAAGAAGTCAACCAATTGCTTGTGCTTTTCAAGGGTCAAAGACTATGACCTAGTTACTTTCCTCAGTAGTTTGCTTCAGAACTCCAGGTTGGTAAAGGGTGAAAAAAAATCCATGGGCTTGTTGCCCTTAAATATCTGGAAACACTAGACTGATTCAAGAGATGCTCTGGGTTCCAGCAGTGCAACTCCCTAAAATGATTGGAGACTTGGTTGAAGTTCCCAGGAATTAACATGAAATGCGACTTCATGAATCGAAATGTGTTTGTAAATGACTTGTAAATAATAGTTTCATTCTTCACCAGTGTAAGGTGATGGCCTTACATCTTATCATAAGATCTAAGCCCCAAATGGAATTGCAAATCTTTCCAAGGACTTTCATTCTTTTCCCTTTGGAGGAGAGAGCTCTGAAAGGCTTATAGCTCTGCCCCCTTATGGCCAGGCCTTTCTGAGTCACTTTAGGTCTCATGGTTCACCTTGGCTACAAGCCATTACTCTTTTTGCCCCATATTATTTGGGGTGATGCATGGGAAAGCTCAGATGAAAAACAGACTGCAGTTTTGATGTTTTTGCCCCTTCTATCCCTGAGACTTTGAGCAGGTTACCCAACTTCTCTGAAACCATTTCCTAATATTTGATGTGGGAATAATAATCTATCATTGAAATGCTTAATATGTTACTATATATTCAAGACATTATATTTGAAAAAAATTGATAAAATGTTCAGCAAGCATAATTAAGGGAAAGAGAATGGTGCTGTCAAATAGTATTATTAGAGTTTTTAAAGTCTATGTTCTACCCAATATTTGACAGTGTTTAGTAAAGTATGCACAGATGGGAGGCCCTTACCAGCCCCACTGATTATAGGAGAAAAGGATGATTATTTTCCAGAGCTGCTCTGTGCAATATGAAAGTCACTGTTCAATTGAAACGTGACTTGTCTAAATTACAATGTGCTGTAGATAAATACAAAACGGATGTCAAAGACTCAGTGTTAAAATAAGAATGTAAAGTATCTCTTAACAATTTTGTTCTAGTTATGTAATTTATTTTGGACATATTGGGTTGATAAAATATGCTGTTAACATCAATATTACCTATCTCTTACTTTTTGTTTAAAAATAGAAAATTTTAAAAATAGAAAATTTGAAATCATATATTTGGCTCACATTTGTGGCCTGAGTTTTATTTTTATTGGGGAGTGCTACCCTAGAGCTTTGTGTTGGCTCAACACAATTTAAGGGGAAAAACATTAAACCTCCCAATAATTACTTTCTCTGGAAATCACTGTGCCTCTTGATTTTTTGTGCATTTACCCTGATGACACCATGATGTTAGATCCTGCTCTCATGATCCTTCTATCTTAGAACTGTGTTGGTTTGGAGCTTCAGAAATTAAACATTCTTGAATAAAGAATGGGTCTTTCACTAAATAAAATTCCTGCTTATTGTGAAAAATATCATTGCCAGTTTTTTGTGTTTTTTTTTTGTTTGTTTGTTTGTTTGTTTTTTTTTACACAGGGCAGATTCTTTTCTCCTTCAATTTTTTATCCCTCTTTTACTTAAGCCACCCTTTAAAGACCCTCAATTGCTGTCTGATCATTTAAGTTATTACCTATAACTCCTGGAGCTTTGGTCTATACCAAATCACTGTGGCCTGTGGGGTCTGGAGCATGAAGGAACAAAGGTCTAGGGCAATTCGTGCCTATGTGACTGACCCCCAAGGAAAGCACTGAGCACCAAGGCTCAGGTGAACGTCCCGGGTTGGCAACACTTTACAAGTGTTGCCACACATCATTGCTGGGAGAATTGAGTGTTGTTTATATGACTCCACTGGGGGAGGACTACTGGAATCTTGTTCCTGGTGTCTCCTGGGCTCCTCCCTATGTGTCTTTTTCCTTTGCTGATTTTAATCTACATTATTTCACCATAATAAACTGTGACTGTCAGCATAACAGCTCAGGAATCCTGAGGGTGATCCTGGGGAACCCTGATGTACATTAACCCCGAATTGTATTCACTGTCTACTACATACTGACAATATTACTGATAAAAGGGAAACAGACAGGAGTAGGGGGATGGGGATAGACCCTAAAATCTGTGGGCTGTTTATTGTGAGCTAGGAACTATTTTATATGCTTTTCATGCAGCTATTATCAGATGGCATTCATGCAATAACTCTCTCATGTTGGTTTTATAGACAGGAAAATGGAGTTTCCATCTCTAACCCCTAATAGGTCAAATTAATACAGTATGGCCTAAAGCTGTAGGCATATAAAAACCATTCACCATAACTGAATGGTAGAACCAGATACAAGCTGGGTTCTCTGAGATCCCAAGCTCTGGTTCCAGCATACCACAGCAAAGATGTAGCTACACCATGGCCATGACATGTGCAGCAGAGGCTGTGGGTTCTCTGCCCACACCAGAATTCACTGCAGAGTTTCTGGACATGCCTATGACCTGCTGCATTTCTCAGCCTGACAACTCTCTCTGATAGGTTGAGCATGCTTGTCCAGCACACCAGACGTGATACCTGAGGAATGGCCCTCAAACAATAAGAAATGTAATTGGTGAATAAATACCTGATTTTCTTTGCTCCTCATTGGGTCAATTCTGAGGCATGTTCCACAGAGTGTCCCACATAATCCCCAATGAAATTGAGCCCTAGTTGTGTTACCAGTAGAGGGTCTTGACTGCAAGTTGTCCAGGTTCTTGCATTTTGAACAAAGAATTGGACAAAATGCACAGCAAAGTAAGGAAAGAACGAAGCAATGAAAGAGCAGAGATTTATTGAAAATGAAAGTATACTCTTCAGTGTGGGACCCGGCTTGAGCAGCAGCTCAAGGGCCCCAGATACAGAATCTTCTCGGGTTCAAATACACCCTAGAAGTTTCCCATTGGCCACTTGGTGTTCACCTCATATAAATGTTCACCTTCACATAAATGAAGTGGTGGCCCCCTATTGGTTGCTTACTGCAACCAATCAGAGGCTGGAGTGAAGTTACAAAGGTCACACACCTATACAAACATCTGGCTAGTTGTGGACAGCAACCAATCAGAAGCTGAAGTGAAGTTACAAAGTTACAGTCTTATGCAAACGTCTGTTTGCGTCTGGTTGCAAAAAGCAACCAATCAGAGGTACTTTCAATTTCCTATCTGCCCATGAGGAACAGGTGGGAGTTTGCAAAGGGTTTGCCTCTGGTCCTTTTGCTACTTAGGCATGGAAAGTTAGGGTTTTACTTTCAGTTTAGTCCTAGGAAGTCAGCATGAAACGGCCTTAGGTTCCCTGCCTCCAGACCCTGTTCTGCGGACTCAGTTGCTCACAGCAGCGTGCCCCTCTGTGACATGCCCTTTACTGGCATTATTCCTTATCTATCTCACCTCCCCATGCCTTCACTATGTGACCTGCTGTTCCCTCCCAAATATACGACTTGAAGCCAAATTCCAAACTCAGTATTTATATTCGGTAGAAACCCACATGAAGAAAAGTTATAGGATCATACCCAAATAGCTAGATATAAAGCAGAAAACAAAGGGACTGAAGGACAGTAGCACCATGGTTACACCCTGCATTCTGTATTTTTAAGTCTCACCTTCATAACGTACAAACATTTCTTTGTCCCATATTTGACTTAAGTTGAATCATTACATTCAATTCTAGCATGAAATATGTATATACAATAAGTTGTCATACATTGTTCTATATTATAGTATGTTCTTTGTACTTTAGTTTATTTGGTTAATTCTTGTTTTCCACCCTTAATGCCATTAAAGTATGTACCTAGATGAACCATCATTCGTAAAGCTGAAAGGTAATATTTACTTAATCAAAATTAGACTTCTTAATACTCGTTAAAGGGAAAACCCATTGTGGGGAAGAAGCATAGAGTATAATGCTCATATTATATTTCAGACAATAAAACAACCTTGTATAATCCTATTATGAACATTAGCATACATTTCACAGCCCATCCGGCAAACAATAAGGGTCATGACTCTATGTATTTGAAATGCTATCCAGGGCATTGTAGTAAGCAAAATGGTAAAACCTACAGCTGTGTCAGTGGGTCAAAAAGCGGTCATGGTACATTTCTCAGACACTGTGAACCCAAATACGCTTTTATAAAGATAAGCTGTGTGTTAGGAAACATGTTTTTCAAAGCTAAACAGGTCTAAAGATATAGTTATGTGAGAAGCAGGGACGGGAGGGGGAGAGCATGACCTGTTTGGAGTGATTCATGGTTAAATGAAACTGTGACAAAACTCCAGTGTCTTGTGGAATGCAAATTCTTATTATAAAAACATCCTTTATGAGACAGAGAAAATACAGTGTCTGCTTCCAGTTAAAGAATTTTCTTCTGAAACTTCAGAAGAGGTCACTCTAATCAGTTTGCCGGAGAATTTCTAACCTGGAAGATTAAAAGACAGGATTTTTTTCCCCCAAATCATATTTGGTAATAGTAACTTATTTTATTGATACGTTTTAGACTAGGTCTAAAATTTTAGATGAAGTCTCCTGTGCATATTTCATACTCCTGCTTTCTGGACTGTCCTGGCCTCCTTGATTTCTTTCTTTCCTCTGTCCCTATTACTTTCTGGATGAAATATTAAATTCACATAAGAATTGAATATAAAACATAAAATTATATCTCCAAAGAGTATGATATGTCATACGATAGGTTCTGACTCAGTTTCTATCTGAGCTAAACCTGGAAAATAGACGCCGCCTCCATTAAATTGTTATTTTATTAGAGTGAGCAAGTGTCTAAATACCTATAATTATTGTTACAGGTATAGTCTACTGTTTAAAAATTATGGGCATGTTGACATTATGATTTAATCATTCACAAGCTTTATAAATATAAAAGATTTGTCACTGTCACTGGAACCTATTTTAAATTATTTCATGCCTTCAGTTTACTTAGCTTGTATCCAAGTTTGAAGGCAATCTCATTTGTCACATTGTTTTCTCTGACAATAATGATGAAATTGCTGCTAATTTGAAAAGAACTTTAAAATTCTGTATTACGTCTGACCCAGTGATAATATTCACTGTATGCCAACATGGTAAATGCAACATTGAGTGTGAAATTGATAAATAGCCAAGTCCTCAAACTACTCCTTTCTCTGCAAGTATAATGGACCTAATGCATATATCTAAATGACATGCATTTTTAGTAGAATTCACAAATAGGAAGTACCATTTCTTGCCAAAACACCAGAGGATAACACCCTCCCTCCTGATGCCAATCTCTCAATATCTTCTTCTTTTAGAGAACTTGGGTTATGAATGTAGAGACCACTATCCTGACAGCACAAGGAACTACAGTCTGTCACAAACAGAGAGATGCACACCTCGCTAAACCTAATGCTGGCAGCAGGAATTCATAGAATATCAGAGAAAGCAAAAGGCTCTTTATCACACCACAGATGATTTCACTCTTTTTAATGCAAATTTTGAAAAACTACATAGGAAACAGAATTTTCTACAACTTAAATTGGATCCTATTGCAAGAAAGTGACCAGTCCATAGCAGAGCTATATGAAATACACAGAAAAAAAGTGAGCAAAACCTAAGACACTACGAGAAGAAAAACACTTATTGCATTAGAAGAGAAACTGTGTTCTAGACTCATCTGGCAAATAATTTTTGTTAATTTAGTAATAATGAGGACACTTAGTTAAGATATTGCCATGACAAGTAGAAGTTTTAATTTAATAGAATGTGTAATCGCTCACATCTGAGGTTCTAATTAGCACATGGTTCTTCTCAACACAGGGAATGGGAACCTAGGCTCCCTCCAGTGTGTGGTTCTGTCATCCCATAGGGTAGTTTATGGAAATGGCAAAGACAGCATGGAGGATGCACAGCCGTTTCTAACAAGTGGCTTAGAAATGTCACTCATCACTGCCACTTACTTCCCATTGGTGAGAATTCATCTCATAGGCAGACCCACCTGCAAGAAGTGTGCAGAAGAATGAATGTGGCCTGTGATTGGGCAGCCACTTCCTTGTTACAACTGTGTTCTATGGAAAAGGAGAAAAGTTTGTGGTGGATAGATAGCCATTGCTGCAGGAGGAATTGGAAATAGCAGAATTCCATCTCAAGTATCTGTAGTATTCACTGCCAGATAGATAGATAGATAGATAGATAGATAGATAGATAGATAGATAGATAGATAAACTTTCCAAATAGATCTTTGCCCATTAATGTTTTATCCATCCTTCAAGGCTCAGTTTTAAGTGTTGCTTTTTCTAAAGAGTCATCCCTAGCTCTCATCAAGTACGTCCCACACTGCCTATTAGAGAATAATGAATGGCATAGATGCTGTCGGTTCTCAACTTAGATTACCTTACCAGGCTGGTGCAATCCTTCCCTAGCTGCATGAATGTTGGCTGCTAATGGCTCAGAGCTGCTCTCTTCTATGGTAAATTGCCAAATAGAAGACACCTTACCTTGGAGGTCAAATGACTTTCCCTCACCCTGCAGTCGACAGCCAATGACTGATCAACATGTGGGTAAGAGAGACCATTCCCACAGTGAGATCAAGTCTGTGGTGCAGTTCATACTTTGGAGTTCCCAATGAGATTAGGCTGAGGCTAAGTCTGGCTCAACTCCTTCCCTTGCCCCATCCTGCTTCTCCCATTCCTCTTCTCTTGACAGCGTCCTCCTCATGCCCCTGCAATAAACCACATGCACTGGAATCCATGTTTTAGGTTCTGCTTTCAGGGAGTTAAGCATAAGGCCAGGAGCCACCTTTCTTCTAAAGTTGGGAGACTGTATGTAATCTTCATGTATTTCTTTCTATCTTAATTTCATGTTTTAGGGGTGACGCAAACCTTAGGAAAACAGGTTCACAACTGTAATTTGATCAGAAAATCAAATTCCAGGGTTTCCCCACGCTCGGTAAATGTTCTCAATTTTCCAAATTCTCCACATTTTATGACTTTTCATTGAGAATTGAGTGTAGATACTGATCTAGCAGCCATTTGTGATTCTCCATTATCAGAGGTAGATTTTTCAAGATTCTCTACATACTAAGCAGGAAGATTAGCACAAATATTTTATGTTTACAAACATTAAGGAAGTTCCCTTTAGCCAAAAAACATATGAACCAACCGTAATACCCTACCCTATAAGCAGTTGCACAATGTGATCTGAGGATAAAATAAAATGTTAATGATGCAGTGCTTTATGTCTATGACATAGTAAAAGCCATAAATGTCTGTTCTTGTTTCACTTCATTTTCATTCTAACATATTCCCGCCATTGTCTCTTTGTAACCCCAGGTGAGACAGGAAGGAAGAGCCATAACTGGTTCAATTTTTCAAAAGTGAGATTTAAAACATCAGAATCAGCTTCAAATTATGAGTCTCACAGCAACAATTTGGGATGTCATTGATTTGGTATGAATGTCCCCTTAATGTGCTATAGAAGTCCCTAGGTACAGGCAGCAAGGGAAATCCCACTTGGTTTTCATAATGTTCATACTTGACTTATGACAGGCAGAACATTTTAGATTCCGCAATGAATTAATGCTTAATTAATATATTTAATAAGAATGAGACATGATATCACTATTGTGTTCCAGTTAATTCCTGTTATCATCTACATGAAAATGTTTCTTGAGTGAAACATTTAGGAACACATTTCAGAATTCCCATGATAGTAAAAGATAATGAGGCTTTGCCTCTGATGAGGACAGAATCTTGACAGTTTTCTAATTAATGGGATAAATGTGGTAGCTCAGCTTCTCTTGCATTCAAATGTCCACATCATCTCTCCATTAATAGGCAAATGGTTTCTCTCTCCTAATCAAATTATACTATTCTTTGGCGTCTTTATCTTAAACTATTTCTTACTTGAAATAACTTGACTCCTTCATTTTGCAAATATGCATACTTTTCTGTCTTTGAAACCAATCCTTCACTGTGAAACTTTTTTCTAAAAACTCTAGGCTGTAATTATCTGATGTTCTGACTACTACCAGATTGTGGCTTGGTTGTACAGTTTGTTACTGAGTTATGTTCAAATTATCACTTAATTTCTGTCATAAGTTGACAAGTTTGTCTAAGTCATAACCTTTGACAGCATAGTTCACAGGGAATCGATCAGATCTTATATGCTGCAGTGTAATATTCACTGTGCTTAGCCCACAGCTGAACATACAGTAGGTTATCAATATACAGTTGAATGTGAGAATGTATGCACATCTCATATTCCTTGGCACCATCACTACTGGGTCTCTGAGATGAAAGAGGGTCAGAAATGTCATAGGCCTCTTCAGCTCACTTTCTTGACCCAACATGACCCAAAGGTGTTGTATCATCAAGTGTGAGAAGGAATTCACTCCCTTGCCCACTTCTCCCAACACTTCCTTCCCAGAGACAGCTTTAGACATTGTTGGCAAGAGATTGTCTATAAGCAGGTCAGAAGAAAGGGTCACTCCTGTCTTAGGAAAGGTCTGTGGTATCTTCCCCTCAACAAGGAGCAAGACCCCATTAAGTGTCAATTGAAGCACAGATAATGTATGAGTATTAAAGAATAGACTCAGAGTCATATGTTGTTCCATAGGGAAAATGCATATACTTTATATATTTCTCTCATGGTTATTTCCTAAGGAAGCAACTATAAAGTACACACATATACATACTAGAAACTGCATACTTCTCAGGTGATAACTATATATTTGTATCACTTTTATGTATTTCTCTCATGGTTATTTCCTAAGTAGGCAACTATAAAGTGTGCACATACACATACTAGAAATTGCATACTTCTCAGATGATTAATATATATTTGTGTTACTTTAGACATTTGACAGACATTTGGGGTTTACGCAAGGTAGTGATGAAAACTAGGAGAGAAGTATCTGCTTCCCTTTAGTCTGCGCTGTGGAGTTCTGTGAGTCATGTTCCATAGACTTACACATCACTCCAGAAACATGCTTCATTCTGCCATGTTTCATGTGTCATCCTGCTTGTGAGTGCAACCTTGATCTTCAGCTTCTCAGTGCAAAAGACAGGGAAGAAGCTACCAGAACACAGGCCCCGGTGTCACTTTCCAGATTTCACTAGCTGAGTGAATTTTGAAATGTTATTTGATATTTCCCCATTAGTACAATCAAGTTAATAGTATCACCATGTCAGAATTGTTTTAAGAATTAAATGATGTACAAACCACCTAGCACAGTACTTGTCCAAACAATCTATTAATTCAGCTTTTCATTCAACAAATGTTTATTGTGTACCTACTATGTACCAGTTTACACTCCAGAAGAAAAAAGACTATTTTAATAAAGCATATAGTATGTTCTATGGCAAAGACAAAAGCTGCAAGGTGGAATATGGGGAATTCTGAAATGGTATTTTGTTTGTAGACCCCACTGATAATGTAAATTTGATAAAAGACCTGAAGGGGGTAGGGGAGTTAGCCATGTACAAAGGTGGGGTGTCTTAGTCAGTTTGGGCTGCTATAACAAAAACATCATAGACTAGGTAGTTCAAACAACAATTCATTTCTCACAGTTTTAGAGGCTGCAAAGTCCAAGATCAAGGTATTGGTAGATTCAGTGTTTGGTTTGCGAATTTCCGTCTTCTTATTGTAACTGCACATGGTGGAAAGCAGAGAGACACAGAGAGAGAAACAGAAAGAGAGAGAGAGAGAGAGAGAGCAAGTTATTGTGTCTCTTTTTGTAAGGGTGCTGGTCCCATTCATGAGGGCTCCACACTCTTAACCTAATTAGCTCTCCATGATCTTATCTCCTCCTGCCATCACATTGGGGATCAGAATAACAACAAATACATTTTGGGGGACATAAACAGTCTGCCCACAAAATGGGGGAAGTAAGTTTCAGGTAGAGGAAACAGCAAATGCAAAGGCCCAGGGGTTGGGAACACATCTAATGAGTTTTAAGAATACCCCGAAGGCCAGAATGGCTAGAGTGGGTTATGAGGAGGAGAAGAGAAGGTGAGGTGAGCAAGGTGATAGAAAGCTTGATCAAGTGGAGTCCTGTAGGCTGTTAAAATTGTTGTGGCTTTTATTCTGGTGAAATGAAAAACCAGCGGAGCATTTTGAGCAGTTGATTGATTTGACAGCATCACTGGGGCTGGTGATTGAGAAAAGTGAAAGGAGGCCAGAACCCCAATTTGCAGGCTACTGCAATAACACAGGAAAAAGAGGATGGTGGCTAGTACTGGGATGGTATCACTGAAGTTAGTGAGAAGTGATTAGATTCTGAATAATAATGATAAACAATTTGAGTTAAAAAATCCAAGATATGTAAATCATAATTTGATTTTGATAATAGCAATGTTTATTTGATATAGCAAGAGTTCTTGATATTAAAACAATGCTTTTGACAAAATAATGCTGAAAGTACCTATTCTATGTTCACAATTCTACTGGAAATGCCATGAATATGAATATTATGCATATGGAACACCAAATATCAGCATTAAATTCTTTGGCAATATATTTTTGTCTTTCCTAGCATATCTCAAAAATCAAGATGAATCCTTAAGCTTTCTACCCAGATGTTGTGGGAACTTGAAGACAAAGTCTCAAAGGTAAAGTAGATAGATTTTATTGAAAGCTTTTTCTGTGTCTGTTGAGATGATCCTATGGTTTTTGCTTTTAATTCTGCTTATGTGGTGAATCATATTTATTGATTTGCATATGTTGAATCCACCTTGCATCCCAGTAATAATGCCTACATGATCATGGTGAATCAACTGTTTAATGTGCTGCTGAATTTGATTTGCTAGTATTTCATTGAGAATTCTCGTATCTATGTTCATCAGGGATATTGGCCTGAAGTTTTCTTTCATCGTCATGTCTGCCAGATTTTGGTATCAGGCTGATGCTGACTTCATACAATGAGTTAGGGAAGAGTCCATCCTCCTGGAATTTTTTTTTTTTAAATAGTTTTAGTAGAATTGATACCAGTATTTCTCTTATGTCTGGTAGAATTTGGTTCTGAATCCATCTGGTCCAGGCCTTTTTTTTTGCATTGCTAGGTTCTTTACTACTGATTCAATTTCAGAGTTCAATATTGATCCATTCAAGGTTTCAATTTCTTTCTGATTCAATCAAGGGAGATTGTATATTTCTAGGAATTTATCCATTTTCTGTATATTTTCTAATTTGTGTGCATAGAATTGTTTATAATATTCTCTGATTATCTTTTTTATTTCTGTGCGATCAATTATAATGCCATCTTTGTCATTTCTGATTGTACTTATTTGGATCTTTTTTGTTAATCTAGCTAGCAGTCTATCAATCTTATTTTTCAAGAACTAACTCTTGGTTTCATTGATCTTTTGGATGGATTTTTTGCATTGTTAAAACCCAATATCTCATCATGGTAAAAAACCTCAACAGACTAGGCACTGAAGGAACATATCTTAAAATAATAAGAGCCATCTATGACAAATCCACAGCCGACATCACACTGAATGGACAAAAGCTGAAACCATTTCCCTCGATAACTGCAACAAATCAAAGATATTCCACTCTCATCACTCCCATTCAACATAGTGTTACCAGAGAAATCAGGCAAGAGAAGGAAATAAAAGGCATTGAAATAGAAAAAGAAGAAGTTAAACTGTCTGTCTTTATTGAGAATATGATTCTATACTTAGAAAACCCTAAAGACTTCACCAAGAGGCTGTTAGAACTTACAAATGATTTTAACAAGGTTTCAGGATACAAAATCAGTGTACAAAAATCAGTAGCACTTCTATATACCAATAATGTCTGGGCTGAGAGTCAAAGCAAGAACACAATTTCATTTATGATAGCCACAAAGAAAATGAAATACCTAGGAATACAGTTAACCAAGAAGGTGAAAGACCTGTGCAAGGAGAACTACAAACCACTGTTGAAAGAAGTCAGAAATGACACAAACAATGGAAAAAATACCATGCTCATTAATTGGAAGAATCAATATCATTAAAATGGCCATACTGCCCAAAACAATCTACAATTCAATGCTGTTCCTATCAAACTACCAACATCATTCTTCACAGAATTATAAAAAAACTATTCCAAGAATCATATGGAACCGACAAAGAGCCCAAATAGCCAAAGCAATTCTAAGCAAAAAGGACAAAGTTGGGAGACATCACATTACTCAACTTCAAACTATACTGCAAGGCTACAGTAACAAAAATAGCACAGTACTGGTACAAAAACAGACACATAGACCAATGGAACAGAATAGAAAACTCATAAATAAAGGTGCACACTTATAACCATCTGATCTTTGATAAAGCCAACAATAACAAGCAATAGGGAAAGGATTCCCTATTCAATAGAGGGTGGTGGGTAGCCATATTCAGAAGAATGAAACTAGATCCTTACTTTTCACCATATACAAAATTAACTAAAGATGGATTAAAGATTTAATTGTAAGCCCTCAAACTGTAAAAACTCTAGAAGAAAATTTAGGAAATACTCTTATTGACATTGACCTTGGCAAAGAATGTATGGCTAAGTCCCCAAAAGCAATTGCCACAAAAACAAAAATTGACAAGTGGGACAAACTAAAGAGCTTCTGCACAGCAAAAGAAACCATCAACAGAGTAAACAGACAACCTATGGAATGGTAGAAAATACTTACGAACTATGCCTCCAGCGAAGGTCCAATATCTAGATTCTATAAGAAACTTAAATCAATCAACAAGCAAAAAACAAATAACCCCATTAAACAGTGGGCAAAAGACATGAACAAACACTTTTGAAAAGAAGACTTACAACCGGCCAACAAATATGAAAAAAATGCTCATCATCACTAATTATCAGAGATATTCAAATCAAAACCACAATGAAATACCATGTCACACCAGTCAGAATGGCTATTATTAAAAAGTCAAAAACAAGAAAAAAAACAAAAAATGAAAACAACAGATGCTGATGAAGCTGCAGAGAAAGCACATATACGCTGTAAGTGGGAATGTAAATTAGTTCAGTCACTGTGGAAAGCAATTTGGGGATTTCCCAAAGAACTTAAAACAGGGCTACCATTTGACCCAGAAATGCCATTACCAGGTATATAACCAAAGGCATATAGATGATTATATCAGAAAGATGCATGCGTTCATATGTTCATCACTATTCTACTCATAATACCAAAGACATGGAATAAACATAGGTGCCCATCAATGGTGGACTGAGTAAAGAAAATGTGGTACAGATACCCCATGGAATACTATATAACCATAAAAAAGAATAAAATCATGTCCTTTGTGGCAATATGGATAGAGCTGGAGGCCATAATCCTTAGTGAATTAATGGAGGAACAGAAAACCAAATGCTGCATGTTCTCACTCATAAGTGGGAGCTAAACATTGAGCTCACATGAACATAAACATGAAGAAAATAGACCATGTGGATTACTAGAGTGGGGAGGGACAGAAGGGGTTGTGGGTTGAAAAACTACTTATTGAGTACTATGCTTACCACCTGGGTCAAATATACCCATGTGACAATCCTACACATATATCCCCCTGCATCTAAAATGAAAGCTAAAATTTAAAAAATAAATAAATAATGCCATCTTGGTACAAGTGTGTTACTTAAGTGTTTAAAAAGCATTTTCCCTTGCACTTTTGAGTGGTTCAAGAAAAACACCATATTAAAACGTGTACTTTCCAAAAAAAATAAAGTAGGTAGAGCTGAGAGAATTTCAGATATTTTTCTTTTAGTCTTAGTGGATTCTTATAATTAGGAAAATTGATATAATGTATCTACTCTGAACACCACTGCTTAAGTAGGGAGACAAGAAAAGACTGGCCAGTTCTAGAAGAGCAGAGTGTCTATACATAGCAAGAAGGAGGTCTCCTGTGGCAATTCTTTCTCAGTCTTGAACATTTTGTGGTTGTACAAAGAACACAGTTGAAAGCCAAGAGACTGGGTTCTATTGCTGGCTCTGTCACCGACCAGAGGCACTGCCAAATATCTGTAAATTAACTGCAGAATTTCTTCCAATTTTACCTTTCTGTGACTTGCTGATCACTTTTTCCTAGCCCTTTCAACATCTGTAAAACTATAGAGAACTTGTAAAGCAAGATATCTTTTGCTGCCAGGGTGGTTGGAGAAGCATTTTAGACAATCACGGACTCTCTTTTGGCAGGTAGATTCAACACAGCAGCTCATAAGACTTGAAACTCATTATCACTGTTTTCTTACACAAAGAGAAAACACAGCTCTTCAGAGTGATGACCTGCAAAAGGATTTTAGTTACTTTTGTTTTTAGTTTTTAAAAAATAAAAAAATAAGATGCATTTCTCATCGGCAACACAGGGTGCTAGAGGACAGTGTGGTAATATAGTCAAAGGGCTAAAGAAAGTAACTGTTAAGCTTGGATTTTACATAGTCTGCCACTCTCACTCAAGGTGACAGTGAAACAGAGTAACATTCATAAAAAATCCAGCACCCTTGTTGAACAAACTGAAAGATGAATTCTAGTAAGAAAGATAATACCTTATAGACAAGGAAATAAGATGCATGACACAGTTATAAACACAGAAACTGGTGAAATATATTGGTAAATCCATTGTACTTAGTAATATGAATGATAATAGTAATAACTGACTTAGTTTGTGCTTAAAGCGAAGTGAACTGTGAAATATCCATATACATTTTTTACCTTGCTAGGAGGACAGAGATGTTGATTAACTACAGAGCTTGTTAAAATATGTAAAGCTACCTGTGCATGTTAATGAACAGACTGGCTGTATAATGCGCAGCTTCCAAACTAGCATAGAGAAAACTAAAGAAATTGTAAAACTGAAGGCATGAAATGAGAACAAATAGGCAAACGAATCTTAGTAAGTATAAAAACATAAGATAGCTGAAATAAGCCCATATATATTAGTAATTAAAACAAATATAAACAGTTTAAATTCACCTCCTACAAGGTTCTGGATTAATTGACTGAATTTGTAAAACCCAAGCTACTTAAGAGACACATTCAAAAAACAACTAAGAAAAATTGAAAAAAGTGAGGCTTAGATATTAACAAGATGGATAATCATTTTTAAAGATTCTGAAATATAATTTAATACTAATAATATTAGCATTATTTCTTTACTCCCTGACCTAACATTTTTACTAAATTCTATGTTACAACTATATCTTCTTAAAATATTCTGTTTGAATTTTACATTTTATATATATATATATATATATACACATAC
Organism: Homo sapiens; assembly: GCF_000001405.40. Lineage (NCBI taxonomy): Eukaryota > Metazoa > Chordata > Mammalia > Primates > Hominidae > Homo > Homo sapiens. Next base: position 6,573,338 of record NC_000020.11, read on the forward strand.
ATACATATACATAAACAAAGAGATCTATAATTTTTTGTTTTGTTTTTCAGAATATATTCACACCTTTCATGTTGCCTCATTCTCTATATCTTCCCATAAAGTAGCAGGTAGAGACCATCTTCAACCTATCTATTTTCAGTTCTGACACATACAATTCATTTTTAACATTTAAAAAGTATAACCTTATAACAAAAATCTAAATAATTCCCTACTTAAAACCCTTCAATGGTTTTCCATTGCTTTTAGAACTGAAATTCTCACTCAAATCCTAAAGTTTCTGGATAACTTAGTTCCTTCTTATCTGATCAACTTCTTCAAATGTTGTTTCCACCTCATTCACTAATCTCTAGCCATGTGCCATTACCTTTCAATTTCTTGGGCACAGTAGATAAATGCTTTTACACCTAAGGCTTCTGCAGCCATTGTTTTATTAAATTAAATGTCAACTCCTTCAAGAAGACTTCCTTTTCTAATTCTCTGTCTCAGCCACTTGTGTCCTTTGCAGTACTTATGGCAAGTTGAAACTGCCTCATTTGTCTGTTTCCTTATTTTTTTAACTGCCTCTGCAACTGTGATATGCATCCTGAAGGCAGAGACCAAATAGAATCTATTCATTGCTTAAACTTTGCCCAAAGCCTGAAGCAAAGTATTCTCTCAAGACTCTCAATAAATATATCTGGAATAAATCAGCAGATAAATAAATAATTGCTTGAGCAGTTTGCTATTTTGCCTGGGTAATATTTTTTCTAGTAGACTGAAATAATGTCTCTATATCTCTGACTTTCAAACCATAATATTTAGTCTTGAATTTCCATTCCTGGAACTATACGTTCATATTTCCAAGTGCATTTCTCATGTATATCTCAAATACTCAAAACTAAATTCAATTTCTCATACCCTATGAATTGTCCTATTACTTCCCTATTTTGGTTAATGATCCAAGCATTCATCCAAACCCAAGACCTGGAAGTCATCACTCATTCACTCATGTATTCACATATTTATTCATTCATTCATATTTCGTGCAGCAACTATTATGTGGCTCACACTATGTGAAGAGTAGCATACATAATAGTGAACAAAACAGGCATAACCACGTCCTCACAGTTTGTTCTACCATCTCTCTCAAATTATGTTGACTGCTGAAACGTGCATGGTCATTCTACTTTAAGAATGTCTCCTGAACCAGCACCTTTTGAGTGCACCAGCACTTTCTTAAACCAGAACCTCACACACACACACCTTTTCTAGATTAAGCCAACATCACCTCTTATCTGAATCTTTGTAACAGCTTCCGGATTGGTTTCCTTGCCTCTAGTCTCATCTCATTCCAATTCATTTGTCACACTACTCAGGGCTTTTCCTAAAACATAAATTTAACCACCTCATGGCTCTACAAAATTTCCCTGTCTCACCATCACTTACAAGATAAAGTTCAAACTCTGTAGCACGACATGCCATGTCCTTAATGATTCAACTCTAGCAAATGGCATTCAGCTTCATGAACATGACCTCATGTCTGCATATGCCATTCCCTTAACATGGAACCTCCCTTCTGCGCTTCACCATATCAGCCTGGCAAACTCCTTCCATTCTCTCCTTTCTTGTTGAGGTTTCCCTGACTTCTCTGCCCATTGAGGCAGAAGCAAGAGCTTTTGGAACCATGTTCTCGTAATCCCTTATAGGAAGGAATCCATGCTATCATACTGCATTATGGGAATGTCAAAGATGTTTATATGTCTGGCTTCCTCACTAGACCATGGACAACTTGCAAGCCAAGAATCTGGCTTATACAAGCTTCTATCTACACCAGCTGGCATAGTGCCTGCAACATGGGAAGTGTTACTACTAAATCTTTGTGCAACAATTAAATATTGATTAAACAAGTGTTGCATTTTCAGTCATTTGCCTGAAATGACGCAGTTATCAGTAGCAGAGCTGATCCAAACTTCCAAGTTCCCACTCGAATGGTTTTTCACTAAAGCACCACTGTCATGTATCCAATGATTTTCAATTGATCCAGGGTAGAGTAAAGCCACAGGGCATGCCTTAGGTTGGGGAGATGGGTTAGAATCACCTCAGGTCTTTTTCAACCTAAAATGCTTATCGGCATTCTGATATGTATTTCCTGAAAAAAATTGCCAGTTGGGTGTCCTATATATTATATGTTGAAGAATGAACAATGCTAGTAGGGAAATAATAGAATGGAAATCAGGCAGGTGTGGATTTAAACATCTATTCCTTAATTTATCAGCTTTGTCTACAGATGAGGAAACTGAGGCACAGAATGTGTCATTTAACTTCTATGTGCCTCAGTTTCCTCATCTGTAAACATGGTACCATATTTGGGAAGTTATAATGAGGATTTTGTCAGCTGACTGACCCTTGGTAAAGGGTGAGAATATTTCCTGGCACATACGAAGTGTTCTAAAATTTAGTTTCTCTTTCCCCTTTTCCCCCTAGGCTTTGATCAGAAATCCAAGCACACAAAAATGGCTTTTCCATTTGTGTAAGGGGAAGATTATTGCTCTGCTGATGAATTGTGTGCATTTCACGCACACTTTAACAGCTCCAGGGCGTCTTCAAATTAGAGCTCCTTATCACTCATTAGCACCATTGCAGGAAGGCCGATAAACCTCACCTCTTGCTTAGCTCTCTGACACAGCTGGGGAAACCTCCATTTGCTCTTATCATCTGAATTCTGACCTTAAAGGTTTCACTCTAACCCCAGGGCTTAATTTATCTTCTGTTAAAAGCAGCAGTTTTCCCTTACATGGAAACTGTCATGCCCCGAGTATGCATAGTGAGACAGAGAAACAGTCCTGTCTGTTTCATCTCAGACGCGAGGGAAAAGTCCCTTGCACCCTTCTCTTCTGCGGATAGATGGGCTTTGATTACAGAGGAGCACATTGCAACTTCAGGCTGCTATTGTACACCACATACTGTAAAGGTTTAAAAGTTGACAAAATGCCATGAATACCATTGTGTGAATTCAACCTCGTGTTTGTTTTACCTACTGTACATCAGAATACACTTCCTGATAGCTGAGAGTTTGTGTTGTTTTGACTAAATTTGGACAAATATGCATAAAATGTGTATTCAACAGATATTTCATGTAAAAACAAAGAAAGGCTTGTGTCTTTAGATTGCCCCAGAACCTGAGGGCTACTGAGAATTATAAATAAAGTTGGCTTCACAGGCCTGCAGTCATAAATGACATTTTTTTAAATGATGGAAGGGGGAGATTTGAGTGGTACAGGAACCTTCCGTTTAATTCCCCTCCTCCCAAATATGTCCAAAATTTAAAGAAAGCTCCTTTAAATATAACTCAGTTGAAAAGGAGCTTTTGATTCCTGGTTATTGGGGAAGGACCTGTTTAACTATTTATACCATTGCTTTGTTTTCTTAAAATTGATGCAGGAGGAACATGGGTCCAGCCCTTTTAAAATCCTATGTTTTATCACTCTCCGGTTGATGGGCGCAATCCAGCATGAGGAAATTAGAAACAGCTGGAGTAGACACAATGCTTTCTTTTGAAAAGACATTTCAAAATTACTAGAGAAAAATAGAGATTGCTCTAAAGAGCCTATCTCAAAATGTGGTTTCTGGCTCAACAGCATCAGAATCTCCTAGGAACTTGTTCGAAATGCAAATTATTGGGCTTCATCCAGCCCTGCTGAATTGGAAATTCTGAAGGTAGGGCCCAGCAATCTGTGTTTTGACAGCTCTTCTATCCCCTACCCCAAGGAATTCTGATGCACAAAAGCAAACTAAAAATGAGACCTAAACCACAGGAAAGAGTAGCAAGAGAAAAGAAATCTTGAAAGGCCAGAGGGCAAGAGAGGCGTGATTTCAGGACATTTAATGATTCAAAGGAATGATGGAAAGGTGCTAATTGGGTACTTAACATCTATACTTCAACATGCATCTGTTTCTAAATCTGAAATTAATGGACAGACTATAAACAGCTTCCAAAGGCAGTGGAAAATACAAACCCAATGAAACAAACCAGAGTCAGGAAAGAGGTTGGCAGCACAATAACTGCAACATCAATTGTATTTAGATGTTTTTGTCTATAGTCTATACTACATAATAACTACATAGTCTATATAGTTATTTCAACATCATTAAATAGGATGTGTGATTAAATAAGTGCATGTAAGTAAATTATTAAAATGCATTAAGAGTATGCTTTTGCATACTTGTAACTTAGAGTAGACAAATCCTCCTGCTGAGAAAAACTAGAAACTGAACAAAATTCAGACACCACGTGTTTGAATGCCTCAGAAAGCTGTCTAAGCAGTCAGATCCTGGAAAGGAGGGGAGCTCATTGAGAGAAGCCTGACTTTTGAATCCAAGTTTCCCCTGAAGTTGAACACACCATATTGCCCAGAAATTCCACTCATATATACATATATATACACAAATACACATAAATATCCAAGAGAATGCACAGACACACACACATATCCAACAGAAATGCATGCATGGATATCTATCTATATATATATCCATATCTCCACATATATATCTCTAACAGAAATGCATACATAAGTACACCAAAAGGCATGGGTAAGAAATTTTCTATTTGCAATAGCCTCAAACTGAAAACTACCCAAACATCCTTGAACAACAGAGAGGATGAATAAATTGTACTGTATTCATGCATGAGATACTGAGAATGAATTAAATACAGCTACATGCAACAACATGGATGAATCTGATGAATATAACATGACATATCTCATTTACACAATTTCAAAATCATACAGTGATAATCCATGGTATTAGAAGTCAAGATAATAGTAACGTTTGATCTTTATGGTAAAAATGGTAAGGAGAGGGTGAGGGCCTACTGAGTTCTGCTTATGTTCCTGTTGCTGAACCCTGCACTGTGTGTTCCGTTTGTGGAAATTCAGTTAGTTGAATACTTGTGATTTGGACACTTTTCCTTACATATGTTACAGTTTAACAAGCACTCTTACTTTAGAAAAATATACTAAGAGGAATTTTTGTTTTCTTGTTTCTCTGACGTCTTTGGAGTCCATCCATCAGGTGTGTCTATGCCATCCTATGGAGACACCCTGGATTATCTGAAAGTAACTGGAGGCAGGAGAATGTGATCATAGAGAATCTTAGATTAGTGGGTAGACAGGCCTATGAATTGCTGTGTGGCTTTGGAAAGCTCTTTAACCCAAGTCACATTTTCCTCATCCTTGCATTGGAGTTGATCGTTAAAAGAGCATCTAACTCATAGGATTTAGTGAGGATTAAATAGGAGAGTTCATCTAAAGCACTGATGGTGGCAGGCAGTGGGTGGGGGTGGCCTAATGGCTAAGAATAAAGGCTGGGTATCTAAGATAATTGACAAGGGCCTTTCTTTTTTTTTTTATGGTTAATGTACCATTCTTTATGAGAATGTGCTAGCATAATGATAGAGGGCTGAAGCATGTAATCTATAATTAATACAAAGTGAACTGTCATGGGGGATGGGGAGGGAAATGGGCCTTTCTGCAGAAATGTAAGTGCGGTCATGGAAACGGCTATAGCTCCTTGATTGTAATTATTCAACCTCACTAGAGGTCTGCAACTAGCTATTAAAGTGCTAGTGGTCCCGACAAGGGCCTTTCTAAGAACACTGTCTTTGCAACTGTACCCCTTTTGAATAATATAAATATCATGGTTACTCACTTGGCAGAGTGGACATCCCTAAGAAATTCAATCAGACATTTTGAGGTTGGTGAGAGAGGGAGAGTTGACGGAGTTGGAGGAAGAAGAAGTCGTGACACCATGACTGAGAACTCTGTCTGATGACCCAGGGTCATAAAATTTATCATTATAAATGTCAAATAAAATAAATGATAATTAATCAATAAAAAATGACACATGATAAATAAATAAATAAATAATAAAATTACCATCTGTGCAGGGCAGGCTGAAAATGCTGAGAAGGTAAAACTCTCTAGGAGAATCCTTCAGCCAGTGACTGATGGGAGTTGGTGGATACTCAACTCCCTTGCCTCTTGAGCCAGATGACTGAAACGTATGCTCTATACTGTCCCCCAGAGATGCCCAGTTGAACTGGGCTCCAGTTACCCACAGTGGTAATTTGCTTAACAGCATACCTTCTATTGACTGCTTTCCCTTACCTGTATCATTTTTCCTTTCTTTTCCCAGTGTTTTGTGAGAGCATCTTCCAAATAAATTACTTGTACTCACATTCTTGTCTCGTGACCAGTTTCTGGGAGAATCTAAACTTAAGACAGTCTGCATTGCACAACTTATGGCGTAGGCTTAGTTGCTTTCTCTGAGACCTTCGGGCAGCTAGCACCACTGTGGCTGCCTCCTTTGGAATTGTCACCTCTACCACGCTGCCGAAGTGCCTGAGACCTACTGCTCTGAAAAAGACTTTGTTTGTCACTGCCCAAGCCCACTGTGAAGCCCCTTCCCCTCCCTTGAGCCAGGTGTCAGGATGGCCCTCCTATCCTGTCCCTCTGTTACCTAGGCAGTGGCCTCATCACTTTATTCATAAAGTTAGACTTCCTCACTCTGTATCTGCGTATTCTTATTGCTTTCTCTTTTCCAGAGACTCCGTTTTGGTCAACAATTAGCCCTTCCACATTTGGATCCTGGGCCACATGTGGAAATAAAGAGTTCCAGAAGAATTCTCCCATGAAGGCATTGGAATGCTTCAATACATAGTTTTGTGCCAAATCTACAATAATCTTCCCAAAAGAAAGACTCTTCAGTGTTCTGGATTTTTCGGGACTTATCTTATTTTCTTGTGCAACATCTTAACACAAACTAGAATAAAGATGACATATAATCATCTGCATTCATGAATAAAAAGAATGATCTAATTGTACTAATTAGCCAAACTGCAACCCACAAAAATGCACCAAGTCTTTATCAACATCCACCTCTGGTTACAGAATGTATCATGATGCCTTATTAGCAGCAGCCCAATGGCTCCCTGGAGCACCACTACTTCTGTCAATACATGCTAAAGCAGCACAGAAACATCTACGAAGATAGGGAACGTTGGGTAGGAAAGACCAGGACTGCAAATATCTTGCCATCCCAGCCTTGGAAGGGACCTCAAGGCCATGTAGTTCAGCCTGCATCCCCTCAGAGTGAAGCATTCTGTGTTCCCCAAAAGGCAGGAGAAACTTTGCCTGTGGTAGTGTGGGTTGCAACCCTTCAAGGATGCTTCTGAGAATCATGTTGTTAAGATAGCTACTGAGCAAAAGGCTGGGATTCTCAAAGTCACTTTGAGCGCATGTAATAGGAGGCAGAGATGAGGTCATCTCCCTAAAGGTCAGCTGCATCCCCAGATGTGTTCTTACCTCAGCCCTCACTTGAAGAGAGCCAAAAAAATGGCTCATCCAGGGGAAAGTGTGGGACTTATGCCCACACGTCCATAGCAGACCAAGCACCTGGCCAGGCCCAGCAGCCAGGAGTGACCCCGCCCCTTGTTCTCTGCCAAACATTGTTCCTTGTACTTGGCCAGTACCCGGGTTTTGCAGCCTCAGACATCTAACCACCTTTTCCCAAAGGACCTCACCCACTTTACCTCAACCCCACCCCATCCCATCCCTTGGCCAGACCTGTAATTACTGGACCTGAAAAGCAGCCTCCAGGATACCACATGGGGGCAGGGCAGCCCCCAGCAAGCAGCCAACTAAGATTTTTCTTTCTACAACATCCCTTCACTGTTCTTTCTCCCTCATCCTCTCATTACCTCCTCTCAGGGGGTTGTGCCAGCCAGGGCTACCCCTCACACTTTTGGGGCCAGAACAAAAGTAAAATAATATCCCCTCTCCTGTCCCCTGCCCAGTCTATGGCTTGGTTCTTTCTCTTCCTAATCCCTGACTCTGTCCACATGGGACAGCCCACGCAGGTGTACACACACTCCATCTCACAGTTCCAGCCACCCCACTGCTATGCAATGGCCTCTTGCTGCCCCTTGGGCCTGTATAGGTGCACACCATCCACTTCTAATGGGGACAGAACAAGGAAAGATTCCCCTGCAAGTTCTGAATACCAGCTCAGGACCATTTGGGTAGGGAATTCTGTTTCCAGGTGTCCGAAGTGTGGCCAAGAAGGAGGGATGTTGGGTCCACGAAGGGTCATCCACTTGACCCTGAAG